>NC_000012.12:72157097-72308612 GCF_000001405.40 Homo sapiens | reverse complement strand
CTGGGCTTGTTAGCTTCTGACAAGGTAATACACTGCAGGAATAGATAAGAATTGAAGAAAAATCGTCCTTCACAAGCCAGGTACTTTTTACGTGTAATCTCATTTTATCTAACAAGCTTTTATTATGCTTGTTAGATTAGATTACTTATTTAAAGTGGTTAAGTAATACAGCTAACACAGAGTAGAACCAGAATCAGTTCTAGAATCTGTCAAACTTCAAAGTCCTTCCTCTATGCCACACACATCCACTGATGTAAAAATGAATGAATTGTCCACATGACCATTAAACGACCTCTCTCAGATATCAATTGTCTGAAGAAGTTATTTGCAAATACTGGGTCAAGGCAATTTGTCCTCACATTCACACACATGCACACGAAGTACCAATAGTCTACGGGACTGGAGGAGAAATAAATGTACTTTAGCCACCGAGAAATGCAGGAGCTAGAGTTACACTGCTCTGAGAGCCCAACTTATAGTCTCGCTAGTTCCTCCCTCCATAATGATGTAAACTAGAGGATGATCTTAAAGAAAGCAAAAAATACACTTTCAGTCTTGATTCTACTGAAGCTTTCAGGCATTTATTGGTGGAATCTGAAGCATGCTAGACCATATAACATGAAAGACACAGGCATGACAAAAAAAAATCCTACCTTAACCATAAGGTATCTGATTTGTAATAAAAACTTCATTTTTACAGGTGCACATAAAATGTGTTAGCTGCGAAATTCATCCTTAAAGCCTCAATTAGTTACCTTGTTGGGTAAAGTTATTTAGTATTATCCATTTAGACAATGGAAAGATTTCCATCTTAGTTTAAATTGAGCTGATTCAGAGCTGTTCTTTCTGACAACAATGAGCAACAGCTCAGCTGTTCCCTGTATAACCTAGAAATGGTAGGCATCATATTAACATAAAACAGAGTATTTCTCGAGTTCTCTTGTTTTCTCACAACCCATATCAAATATATGTCATGAATTCCAGAAGTTCTCCCTTCAAAATATATCCCAAACCCCACTACTTCTCTACACTCAACTCCACACACTACAGTAACCACTTACATAATCTCTCTGCCTCCAGCCTTACCCCACTATAGTACACAGCCACAATGCAGCCAAAGAGATTCTTTTGAAATACAAGTCTGGCCAGGCGTGGTGGCTCATGCCTTTAATTCCAGCACTTTGGGAGGCGGGTGGATCCACTTGACGCCAGGAGTTCCAGACCAGCCTGGCCAAGTGGAAAAACCCCATCTCTACTAAAAATACAAAAAAAAAAAAAAAAATAGCTGGGTATGGTGGCGCATGCCTGTAATCCTGGCTACTCGGGAGGCTGAGACAGGAGAATCACTTGCCGGGAGGCAGAGGTTTCAGGTTTCAGTGAGCAGGTTGCAGTGAGCCAAGATCACACCACTGCACTCCAGCCAGAGCGACAGAGGAAAACTCATCTAAAAAAAAAGTCTGACAGATCACTCCTCTGCTTGAAACCTTCCAAAGGCTTCCCATAGCACTCAGACAAAAACTAAATGTCCCTATACCCACCTAGAAGGCCCTACCTACACATGCACACACATACATATCTGATCTCGTCACCTACCATTCTACTCTTCCTCCTAATGCCTTTGCAACACCTGAAACATTCTAGGCATTCCTCTGCCTCAACTCCTGTTCCCTCTGTGTGAAATCCTCTTTCCCCAGATATCCCAAGGTCTACTTTCTCTGTTCAGTCTCTCCTCAAACACTCATATTCAGAGAGGCCTTTCCTAACATCCTATCTAGAATTGCATCATTCCTTTACCCCACTTCACTTTTCTCCTTGGCATATATCACCATTTTATATATTGTATATTTTAATGCTTTTGTCAAACTCACCCCACTGGAATAGAAACAATGTAAGCTTCATGAAGCTTTGCCCATTTTATTTACTGCTGTGTCCCCAGTGCCTAGAACAGTCCCTGGAAAATGTAAAAATTTAAGTAAATATTGGTTAAAAGAACATCATTACATGACTGAATGAATGAAATCATGATACCTACACAGATAAGAATCCTTATCTTTTTCTTTGCTACTGCTGAAGTGTGTACGTCTACTTACTCTAATACTGTTGCCGAGCTGTTTAATATAAATTTAAAATGAACGAGAAATTAGGGCAAAAGTCTGTCTTATATGGTTCAGTACTAGAATTTTATGTATCATAAAATAAGTCCTCCCCACTCTCATTTAATAATGTTAGTATTATGCAGATTTTCAAAAAGCATTGACTAGCCTGTGATTTACAGAGGTATCATGCTTAGTCCATAATTACTTCCTGACATGGAATCAAAAACTGATGGATGAATCAATGAACACTGTCTTTTAGTTTGTTTTCAGTGAATACACAAATATAGAAAACGTTTGTAAGAGGTAGATTATCTAAGTCCTATTTATTTCTCTTGCAAAATACTAGATTAAGTCATCTAATCTCATAACTTTTTAGAAGAAAACTGAGTTTCGATTTGATATCCACCAGCAGAAAAAACACTTGGCCATAAGGCAGCAGAGGGGAAAAGGGAATAACAGAACAACCCAAACTGCATGAGACTTGCCTTTGGATTAGTGCTTCTCACTGGTAGTAAGCCTGGCAAAATGGAGCTGTCTGTACCACTGGAGTGTCAAGTATAAATAAGCTAAAAAGTAATAATGGCCAAGGTAGAGAGAGGTAGAACACCAAGAGAGAAATCGAGGATTGTCTTCTAAGATTTGGAGTGTGTGGAGAATTCATATAACCATGTTTGAAAAGAATCCACGTTTTAGGCACAGAATCAGTGGAACCAGTAAATGATCTCCTCTTTTCAGACTGCACCTACTCATTTTCACAGCCTTCACATCTTCAACCATAAAATCTCACTACTGATGAGTTGTTGCTTTATTGTTTTGTTTTGTCTTGCCGGCTTGGGATTGCCCAACCAGTTAATAATGGCTTTCTCCTGCATATTAAACCAGACACAGAAATATCCTTTCTCCAGTTGTAGGTACATCCTAATACAACCGCTCTCATAGAGTTAGGGTGAATCCTATTGAAAATGCTAGAACCTGTTACTGAAGAGGCAAACGATTCTTGTAGCCAAAATCCTCCTGGATTCATAGTTACCATTAGGTAATGAATTATTTGACTTGCCCCGAAGGCAATTTATGATTCTGTGATTTCATTTGCAGAAGTCATACCATGAGCAACAGCAATGTTCCATCATAATCTTATGTAATTGTCCATAATGACTTAGGCTGGAGCCTTTTAGTGGGATTTAGTAATCCATTTTTCAGGGAGGATTAATTTGTTGAAATGATTTAACCTAATTTATGGAATAACATTTATTATTTCCTACTGAGCATGTCAGTAGGAATGTCATCTTTCTAACTTTGTCAGAGTTGTTTGCTGTTACTGTTGGGATTTTAATACTTTTAAATAAAAATACAAAATGAGCCATAAATGATATAACACACATGTAACTATTTCCCATAATTAAGAACTTTTATTGTTGAAATTTTTCTGTGTCTTTTTTACTAGTGGAGTATTCTAATAGAAAAAGTTAATATCTACTCTCTCTCTCTCTCGCATGTGCTCTCTTGCTCTCTCTTCCTCTAAATCTTTAACCACAAGATAAGATGACAGACACGTGGGACATTAAGACCAATTTCTGCTTATCTACAACCTATAACCCTATACAACCTGCTTACAGAGGAAATACTTCCCTAGAGACATCAGCATGCTATGAATTGCTTACCATTTAAAAAGTCAATCATAGCCTGGAGAAATGAATTCCCTATATTAATAATTTCCTAAAACATCCCTGGTTCATTTAGATGTGTAATCTGGCATGGTGATAGTGGGAATCAAAAGAATTCTAGAAAAAATTTCAGATGAGAGTAACCATCTTAGGGATAGACTTAGCTATGGGGAACTCACTGTCAACTGTCCTCTCGATCAGACAGACATTGCTTTAAGACTTTCTAGAGACAGTTGTTTGACTGTGTCATCTCAAGATGATAAATAAAGCTTAACTAGGTATTTTTTCTACTTGATTCATGAACTAGCTATCATGGAGAGAGGCCTATATATTCATAGAAATCCAAATCAGATTTCCTGTGAAGCTTGCCCTGGCGGGATCACTCTGACAACTTCAAGATTTCATTTTATTAATGTATGATCCTCTGGATTATTGGGAACTATAAGCTCAAAATGTTGCCAAATTTACTAAATAACATCAAGCTCCCTCTGTAGCTGTTCCCACCTTATGGTGGTATTTCCTTTCCTCATTTACAATTAAGAAAACAAAGTAGATATTAAATTCAAAATATACAGTAATATAATTCTAATAAAATCAGAACAATTAAGACTATTGACATTCATATTACCAATAAGGGCAAAATATTATATATATAAATCTAAAGACTCTAAAACCTGTAACTAATAGATTACTTGAGGAAATTAAGGGAGCGTAATTAGTCTAGTGGAAAATGCCTGTAGAACCAGATAGAAGCTATTTAACATTTTAGCCCTAACATCCACGAGCTATGTGACAATGATCAAGTGTTCAGTCCTTCCAGATTCCATTTCCTCATCTATAAAATAAGGATAATGATAGCAGCCACATCACCTGGTTCCTTTTCTCTGCCCCTGGAACACATTCCGTGTTCAACAACTGTCTGATACTGTTACTGTGTTTTAATAACAGTCTGTGGCAAGGACTGCTAATTATCCACCAATGTCCCTTCCCCTAGATCCTTAGTTTAAGAACCCCTCATTTTTGGCTTGACACATGGCCATGTGACATAAAGATTATATTTCCCAACATAGTCTGCAGCTAGGTATAGCAATTTAGAAAGTTATGGCCAATATGAATTTTAAAGACATGCTCTGTGTGTGACTTCTGTGCCCTTAAAGGGAAGAAGCAGAGCCACCAAAGATCATCCCAAATAGAGGGCATGGGAAGAAAAATTTTAGTCTATGCTTCTTGCTCCAGGGTGTACCTCTGAGACTTTTAATATACCCTTAAAGCTGAGCTTCCATATCTGAATGTGCAGATTCACTAAGTCTAGAGTAGAGTTCACAAATGTGAATTTTGAAAAAAAGTCCCCAGGTGACTCTAATATGCACATGTAGTTTAAGAGCCACTGCTGTAGGGGCTCCACCAAGTCTCACACATTTAGAATATGAAGGGTAAATGAACATCAGTAAAACAGTGCATTGGAAACTGCAAACTGAACAACCCACAAACCATCCCTAAAGCCTCCAAACAATCCCTGACCATAGACGATACTGCAAAAATTTCCTTCTCATGTGTTCTTTCCACATGAGAAGCTGTTTCCTAATATTAAAAGGGAATGTTTATATCTTACCCCTTTTGTTTTAATTCCTAACATCTCTAGTGATATATACTAGGTTTCTTCTCATTGCATTTGGGTCCACGTTTATCTGGAGAAGTAAATAGAGATTAGTGAGAGAAACGAGTCTTGATAAGCCCATGTTGCCCCTTGAATATATGCTCCAAATGGGCTGCACACCTCCAGAAGGAGTCACCACCATAAGATCATCAACCACCAAAGTCATTATTCAAGCATAGTGGTTCTCAACGGGGTGATTTTGCCAGAGCATATTTGGCAATGTCTAGAGACATTTTCAGTTGTCACATCGGATGTGCTACTGGCACCTAGTTAGCTGAGGCCAGGAACGCTGCTAAATATCCTACAATGCACAGGACAGACTCCCACAACAAAAGTTATCCAGTCCAAAAGAGCTTGAGCTTGAGAAACCCTGTTCCAAAGGGTGGTAAAGGTAAAGCCTTCCTCAGCAGATCTGTGGTTAGAAGGCTCAAAATACACATTCTCTGAGAAGTGTCTACCATCTAGCTAACAAATAAGTTCCACGAAGAGAAAGAGACACCCCTGTGTCTGCCTATAGTCATTCAATCATAGCCTCTGCCAAACAATGAAGAGCAGGATCTCTGCAGTCGGATCACCTGAGCTTAAGCCCAGCTCCAGCACTTACAATGGGCAAGTTATGCCATCTCTCTCAGCCTCCATTTCCTCATCTATAGATTATAAAAATATTGTGGTAGAAACATCCTTATATTATTATAAATATTAAATGAGATGATCTTTGTAAAGACCTTAGAATAGTACCTGAAACATAGTGAATTATTTTTAATCCAATTTTTAAATAAAATTACTTGAATGATTTTTATGAAGTTCCATTAGGGCAGAAATATTCTCTTTTCCATCTTTCAAGTTGTATGTCGTTTTCCTCCACCCCACCTTTAATCACAGCCTGATAACTAGCAGGATATAATTGTGTATATAAACACACATGCACACACACACACACACACACACATACACACACACATAGATAATAATCATAGAAACATTTAGGTTACTGATTTAATCGTTATCTCTTCAAACACCTTTCTCTCTCTGGTTTCTTCCTGGAAGCAATTCTTCCACAAACCCAAGAACATTCCATCTTCCCACATGTAACAGAATCATAAATGAACGTACTTCACGAACATCTCACTTCCTCTAATAATTAGGTTATAAGTCATTTGCACAAGTTGGTAATCACAGGAAAAATAAACACTACAAATTTTGCAACACTTTCCACTGTAGCACTATGCTGGGAGATCTAGCAGTATTATAACAGAAATAGCAGTATTCCTGTCTTCACCTCATAAGCAATGCCTCCTTGCCTTTTGCAAATGACCTTTTTTAAGCTGTCCCCATAGAGGATCCCATTTAACCATCTGTGCTCATTCTCCCCCACCCTACCTACAGTCCTAGCTTGCTCACTAGTGAGACATCAACTTGATCTTACCTGTGTAGCTGCCAAGCTTTGCACACTCCTATGTGTCAAGCACTTTGATAGGCACTGTACTTCTATTGTTTCTTTTAACTTTCTCAACTGCATTACAAGATCTACATTGTTATCTCCATTCTGTATAGGAGAATACACAAATCTAGTTAAGAAACTTGCCTCTAATAAGTGGTGGAATCCAAAACCCAATCCAAATCTGCCCAATACCAGTGCTATTTCCACTAACTGTCTCTGTTCAGCCTGTGCTTGACTCCTCTATAGCCTTCTAAAAACACATTATTTAATAGGATCCCTAAATTCTCAGTTGATTCTTTTGCACAGGACTATTTTACTCTCTCACTGTTCGCACTGCCTTTCCCTAGGGAAAGTAAGGTAAAAGGACTGTCTCCACCATAAGCATCTCTTACATTCCCACAGAGGCCCTTCTGATGGAATTTCTCATTGTCTAATGAATTACTGAAAGGAAAAAAAGAGACCACTCTCCCATTTAGACAAAGTGGTCCTTTATTTTTTTCCCTGTCTGGAATACTGAGAGACACTTCTGCATTAATTCTAGGCATGTGTGAAGATAACCTAACTTTCAGCCCGACTTGCCATTTAAAAGATTTACATTTCATCAGAGAGACACAGGTAATAAAAAAAAATAGAACTCCGTATTTCTTCATTTTTCTCTCACTGATACGACAGGATCATATAGTACTAAGTTTCAGGGGAAGAAAGGAAGCAAAATGCTTCACTGTGGCCAGTCCTCCCCCTGAACCTGGAATTCAGCAGAGAAGAGTGGGTGAAAGTAAGAGAGGAGGGGAAAGAATGCAAAGAGAAAAACTTCCAGAAATAACCGCACAGGGCTAATGCACCATCTACTCAGTCAGGCAACCTGAAACTTTGAGGTTTTCTTTGATTCACTTCTATTTTTTTGTCACCCAAATAAAGGCACTCATCAAAACCTATTGATTTTTTTCTTCAGACTGCATCTTATATCAACCATCCTCTGAATATTTACTGAGTGACTACAACTGCAAGGAGCTGTGCTATGCTATGTACCATGGAGATTACATACACACACACATATATATACTGTGTGTGTATATATATGTGTGTGTGTATATACATACTATATATATCATGTGAGAACATATATATACACACACACACACGCTATACATCTTTGAGCTGCTCAGTATACACATGCACGTGCACACACACACACATATATGCCATACATTATTTCTATAAGCCTCCCAAGATGCTAAATACATATATATTAAATATATATACACACATGTATATGTCTATGTGTATATAAAATACATATATATAAAAAATACACACACATATATAATACATATCTCTGTGAGCTGCCCAGCAATGTGTGTGTGTGTGTGTGTGTGTGTGTGTGTGTGTATACACATATATTTTATATGAGTGTGTTTTTCACTGGAAACAATTCTTGTCCTCAAAGATCTTGCAATCCAGTAAGTGAGAAAAGATGTGAAAAAACAAAAACAACAACATAAATATATTAGCACAATGATTCAAAAACACTGAAGGCCTATTACAGTTCAAAGAATGAAAACAATCCAGCTGGGTCAAGGCTGCATGAGGAGATGAAACCTAACACTGCCTGGAAGAATGGTTACCCTCTTGTACTTCCTTGTTATAAAAATATTCTTTAAAATCTGCACTCAGTAATTAAATCACAGCCATTCCTGAAACTAAAAAAGGTGTTTCTTACTCTAAGAAAACCCAGTGGTCATCCTTTCTGTGTACTCTTCCTCTCACGAAGAAAACTCTCAAATTTGCCTTTCACCCACGATGTCTATCCATCCCTCAAGACCCAATACTTCTCAATCACTATCCATGCCCTCGTTGGTCTTCTTCTCTGTTCTTTTTTAACATCTAGCATCCCACTGAAGTTACCTTTTCTTTATAAAACAGCGTCTTGTACCATGTAGTGCATGATAGTATGTTTATCTTGTCTTATTGTCTGGCTCCTAAATCCCATAAAAACAAAATCATTTAAGATGATGCTAAGCCCAAAGAGGACACTGAGTTGATTAAGGTTAATCAGAAAATTTAGAAATTTTTCCTCTCTCTGTAACTCAAAGTCCTACATCTATATGAACTTCTGATGAATTCTGCTCAGTCAGTTATCTCTTTGATCTTAATTATGACAGATTTTCCCAATATTTCAGTTCATTGTTGAACACGGTTGCTCAATATATATTTGTGGATGAATAAAAGAATGTTTTTCTATGGTTTTAAGATGACAGTAAGAAATGATTTTCAGTACCATGTGAACAGCACATATGGGTAGTGATTGGTTTTAGGCATTTGCCAGTTCCTCCCCAAATTAAACTTAATGAGAAAACAACAGCATCTCCCAGACCCAGCAAGTCTTAATCTTGCCATCTGGTCTGATAAGGAAGTCAAGAAACATTAGTAGATGGTAGTGATTGAGGACAGATCGTACTATTAGTACTTTTGCTATCTTCTTCCACTCTGAATATTCACCCTTATTTATCCATCTTAGTACAAAGGCCTTCCAAGAATAATACTTGATTCTTCAGGAAATAATTTGTCTCTTTGTTTCCTACAAGTCTCATCCCTAGAAATATTAATATATCTCAACAGAATGTCTTGGTTAATCTTCCTGAAATTTGATATCAAATCCTATAAGAACCATTTGAATCTGAGTGACATCAACCTTTAGAATATAATTTTGTCTTATCATTTCTTCTGTATCATGGTCACCCAGAGATTCTTCTCTGTACTGCAACACATTTGGTGCAAAAGTTTGGCCATTTTTTCATGCCAACTGCAACCTAAACTCCACTTGCTTGCCCAGACAGTCACTTAATGCCTATTCCTTAATCCTCAGGAAAGCTGAGCTAGACCCAAATGGCAGCCTTAATGAAACAGGAAAACAGATCCTGGTCAGGTAAATAATGGAGAAAAGAAATTGAGAGTCTTTTGACAAAGAGGATAAGACATTTTGTATTATCTCCATGCTTTTAAAGAATGCTCCTTATATAACCCTGAAGCCCTCCCAAGCTCAAATCCTTCAATGGTTCCCCTCTGCCTAAAGCATACAATCAAAACTCCTTAACATGACATACAAACCCCTTCATGATCTGGCTGCTACATAAACCTCCAACCTCATCTTTCACTCCTTTTTTCCTCAGTATTACACAACATTCTACCTCTCTTGGATTATAAAGGCTTGGCCAAAAACAGTTCTTTAAAGTAAAAGTCCTAAAGAACTGGAATGTAAAAGAAGAAGAAAGTCAAAAAATAAAAACAAATCTGAAGCCAGAAAGAAAAACTTTTTAATATTATCAGATTATATGCCATTACTTTACTCTAGATATGCCAGGACCTTATCTAAGAGACAACTGGACTGGCAACTCCCTCTGCAGTCACCCAAAATTCTACCAGGAAGAATAAGGGAAGGAAGATCACAGCCAGAATCATCTCCTTCCTCTCTACTGAAGGAAAAAAATAACTGGCTGTGCACCATGCAATCTATCACACACATTATCAAGTATAAACATACTGTAATCATGGATACACTGACCAAACTGTTCTGTTTTTTAGATTTGTTTGTTTTTCACTTCAAGCTCTTTCTATTAGCTTCTATTAGCCTCTTCAATATGTAGACTCTTAAACCTCAGGGCAGTTGATAAACTGTAGATTATATAACAAAACCCATTATTGTTCATCACTGAATCCACCATAAGCCAAAGCCAGTCACAAGGCGATGGAGATTTGCTGAGGCTTACTCCATTATATCAATATCCCAATGGAAACCTTGGGGCTCAATGGTTCTATAAGCTCCTCCATTAACTAAATTTGGCCTGCTCAGTCCTCCCTCTGTTCTGTTGTTAACATGTCCCTCCAGTCTACCATTCCGTCTGCCGCATAAGTAATCCTTTTTCTCAACACTTTTATCCTTTGCACAAACCCCTGACTCCCACTACTTCTGCCCACACTCTCATCCTTAAGCAGATCTGCTCTCATCCACCCTCAGAGGCAGAGAGAAGGATGAGCACTTTCTCAGCTTCTGCCATTGCTGCTTTTACACCACTGTTCCTCCACTTCCATGAAAACAACTCTCTTCTTTCAGTGTTCATGGCTTTCACTATTCCTATTTTCTACCTGGCCCTGCAGGTGACACTCTTGAACTTTTTTCATGAATCTGAAGCCTGATTTACAGCTTTTTCAGAGATTCTCCCAACCTGTTCAGGATCACCTCTCCATGTTATTGACGCTTGTTCCAACACAACCTTTTGGTTACTTTACTTTCTGCTCACTCCATGATTCTATCCTCAGTTCCCTTCATCCACCCAATTTTGCAATAACAGGCTTAAAATTCCACCAACTCACCCTGAAATCTGAAACCCTCCTCTCTATCACATACAATCTTCCCAGCTCATCCACTTCATATCTCTACTCTTATTTTACTTTTATGGTGACTTGTAGTCTTCACCCCTGCTATCCATTTTTCTGAACATCACTTCCATTATGGGTTCACTTGCCTCCCTGCTTCTCCGGGTACCATGGCCAATGATTCCAATAATATATTTATGGTTACTCTAGATGTCTTACCCTCCTGACTGCTGGCCAAGTGTGCCTTGTCAATTCCCCAAGTTCAATCTCCCTACATTTGCTTTCTCTATTCTTATTCCTGGGTTCTTAAAACTTGCAGAAAGGCACAAAAGAGTGTTGCTATTTCCCCTACAGACACAAGCCATTAACATCAGGTAGCTCTTGGCTGCTTTCTGGAAACTTTCTGTTCTCTTCTTATAGATTCAGCTCTCCCATAATCTAAAGCTCCTTGGAACAGACTCTGCATAAATAATTTTCTTACCCCTTCTCTTAACTAGCACGCTTAAAAACAGTCTACAATCACTACATCCATTTCTTCATTCTACACTCACTCTGTAATAGAACCTATTGGCTCTGCTCCTACCACACTAATGAAATTTCTGGAGGTTCATCAATTTTATTCTTTTCTTTTTAACTTCTTAAACTCCTCGACTCTAATAAACTTCTGACCTGGCCATGTAGCCTTCTGATACCACTGCAGACCTGACTGGGTGACTCATGACTGGCTCAGGCATTTCTCTCATGCAGCAGAGGTGAGCTGGACATCATAAAAGCAATAAAGGCACCCACATGGCTGCAGACCACCGAGCCAACTCAGGCCCTACCTAGCTATCCTAGCTATGACTCAGCTATTACTAACAAATCAACAATACTCAGGCACTGCTTTCCTAATGGAGAACAGAGACAGTTCTTTGTCTTTCTGCTCACAGGAACCATCCCATTTCTCCTCAGAGTCTGCACTGGATTCAGTTCCCTGTTTAGTGGTAAACCTTTGCTCCTCAGTACCCAACTCTCTTTAGTAACTCTTTTCACTTACATCTTCCTGCGGATGTCCTTAAAAGTGATGATACTGGTATTGTAACATTTTCTATTTTTATTTCAATATTGGTCAAAATTACTTCTCACAAATTTTCAGGCTCCACATATTAACCTAGCCAAAAGATTTTGAAAACCCTTGACATGGTGGTATCTCTGATGGAAATTGACTTATTTAGACAACCAGTGGAATTTCACTGAGTATCTATCATTTTCTACATACAACATGAACTGCAGATCTTACAAAGATGGTGCCTACCTTCAAAGAGTTCACAGTCTAAAGGAGCTGGCAAGAAAGCTCTATGAACAGCAGAAAAACAGCTGTGAGAGATGAGTGTAAAAAGTTTTCAAAAAGTAGAGAGGAGGAGGATGACTATCACTTCCTAGGGTAGGAAGGAAGCCTCTACTTACATTCCTAAATAGATTGTAATCCAACTCTTTTGTTACTATTTATTTTAGTTTCTCTATGGACCATTATTACATTTGTAACGCAATCTTATTGGAATGTCTAATGACAACAGGACTTCTATTAGTAACGTGATTTAAAAAAAAAATAGAATACATGGTTAGAATACATTAACCTATACTCCTCTAATTCTCTCATTAAAATGAGACTTAATTTGTTTTCAGTAGAAAACTTCACAGAAGAGTCCTGTGTTTTAAGCGTATATACAGAATATCACATCTAGAAAAAATAAGCATCAGGAATGTGCATTATGTGTATATGTCTTGTACTTTCCTGGATGTGGGTATACATATATACATACCACCATTGTAAATTGTGTGTGTCCTTCCTATTGTAGTCAGTCCACACAATAAAATTAAACAGTATGTTTTGAGTACCTGTAGCAGTTTTTTGCCCAGCATCCCTTCTCTAAAACTTCCTTCTTTTTGCAATATATATTCCCATCCATGAGGTTGAAACAGAAGACACCATGTTCCTATCATAGTGACGGCAGCAGTGGGCCATCTGGAGCAGCTGCTGCCATCACACTGGCTGCATCAGGGAGGCGCGGCCAGGGCTGCCCTCTCCATGGAGCCCGCGAGAGCCAGGGACAAGCAGGAGCCCTGCCCCTTCTGAGCTGGGGTGGGGCTCCCCAGTGCTGCTGCAGCCGCCCAAACCACGCTGAAGACCCAGGTCTCCCTCTCCTGGAGCAGGCAGGAGCCCCGTCTGCAACCCCTCCCACCCCCCAACCACCCCCCATCCCCCAGCCACCCCCCACCACAGCTGCAGTCACCCAAACCACAGCTGCGGTCACCCAAACCACAGCTGCGGACTCAAGCATCCCTGCACTTTTGGGGGCCCAGGAAAGCCCCCCTTGCCCTTGCAGGCTCAGAAATGCCTGCTCCCACTGCCTGGCTTCTCCCTGCTGTCCTTGCCTGCTCCTATCTCGGAGCAAAGTCGGGGCAAGCTCCAGTGCTGTCACAGCACTGCTGGGTGTGCACATGCTCAGGGCAGTGTTGACACTCCAGCTCCCTGCCACCTCACCCCCCACAAATTTTGGGCACCAATGAGCATAGGAGGGAAGCCAAGGTGGAGCTGAGGGCAGCTTGATGCTGGCCTGCAGATACCCCTTGGCACTTATAGCCTGGGTGCCATGAACAGGCAGCAGGAGGCAGAAAGATTCCTGGGTGGAAGGGGGCGGGTCCCCAGTGAGCAGGGAACAGGCTGCCATCCCACAGACCAGAGTAGGGACTTGTGGTGCCTTTTCCCGGCCCAACCATGGCCACCCAATCAATGTACACTTCCTCCCCTCTGAGGCTTATAAGAGCCCCATGCTCAGCCAGAGCTGAGCAGACATCCAGACGACTGGATGCAGAGAGGAGCAACACACTCTAGGTCCTCCTCTGCTGAAAGCTGCACAAGCAACGGGATGACCAGCTGCAGAGAGAAGCTACCTTCTCTGCTAGAAGCTGAACACTTGTCAGGATACCCTGGCTGTGGAAAGGAGCTGTCCGCCCCACCGCCCCCCACCACACACACACACAGACAGGTTCCCTCTGAGCTTTTCTATCATTCAATAAGGCTCCTATTCATCTTGCTCACCCTCCACTCCCCTACATACCTCATTCTTCCTGGTCACAGGACAAGAACTCAAGACCCATTGAATGGTGAGGCTAAAAGAACTGTCGCACAAACAGGGCTGAGACATGCCCCTTACTTGCCATGTTGTGGGAAAAGAGAAGGAAAGAAGAGCTGCAGTCCTTCTGGGAGCCCAGACCTGGGAACTCCCTGAGCCAGGGCTGTGACTCCCTCTTTGGGGCCCTGTGGTTCCTGGCATCTCCAAGCTTCCAAGCACCACCATATTCCCCAGTACCAGCCATGAAAGCCGCTTGTGGTGCACCTGGTCCAGTGCCCATGACAGCATCTGGAGCTGCCTGCCCCACTGCAGCAGCTGGCATATCTGATTGTGCACCGTGGCTGGACCCCATGCTCACTCACACACCCCTCACCGTTCCACACCTGACTCATCCTTGGCTAGTGTGGGACCTAGGCCAGTAGTGTGAGCCAAGCGCAGCTGCCAGGCAAAGTGGGCGAAATGAGCCCAGCTGGCACAAGCAAAACTCAGGCAAAAGTGCCATTGGCCACAGGTTCCCAGCCAGAAAAACGACACCCCAAACATCCCATAACAATAGGATGCCACATGTGCATGCTATACACAGTAACCAGCAATGATCATTGACTCAAGCCAGGGCAATCAACTCACTCCCTATGAGTTTGGGAATTAATAATGGTCACTTTCTTTCTTGGGCTCTTCACATTAGTATGCAAAACTTGAGAACTTTTGGCAGCCATATTCCAGCATATGAACCAAAGATGAGAGGAAGCCTGTCCCCAGTAAGAGAGTAAAGAACAAGCATTGACAAAGACCCAAAATGGAATTTCTGAGCTTCCCACAGTGCTCCAAGCCCTAGGTCCATCTGTAATCTGGGTTCCTTGATACACCTTGATCACTTTCTAATACATTTCTCTTTTTGAGATAGATGGGACTTAATTAAACTAAAAACTTCTGCACAGCAAAAGAAATAATCAGCAGAGTAAACAGACAACCCAGAGTGGGAAAAAATATTCACAAACTATGAATCTGACAAAGAACTAATATCCAGAATCTACAAAAAACTCAAATATATTAGCAAAAAAAAAAACAAATATTCCCATCAACATTAGACCACCATGCTATTAATACAAGGAAGCTCAGGCCACTCAGAGAGACCATTGGTAGATGCCCCAGATGACAGCCCCAGCTGAGGTTCCATAAAACACACAACATCAAATAAAATCATTTAGTAAAGATGCAGTCAGAAGATTCTTGCCCCCAGCGATCAAGTTAACCCCAATCAACGAGACCTCTCCCACTGAGACCTCAGACATCGTGGAGCAGAGATAAGTTGTTCCCTGCTCTGTACCACCCAAACCCTTCGTGGCATTTTCATGCTCACACTACTCTCCGCAGTGAGCATTAAAAATGGTTACTTTTTGTTGCTACATTTTCAAATGATTTCTTATTCAGCAATATTGATTTGAACCAATTTTGATACTTGGAATTAGGGCACTGTCATATCAAAAGCCTTGAAATATGTAGCATTGACTTTGGGACTAGACTAGGAGCAAAAACTGGAAAAGCCTTGGGATTGTTAGCAGAAGCCTCTGGGGCTTGAGGAGGCTGTTGGTGAGAGCTTGAAGCATAGTAAGATAAATGTTATTGAAAGCTGAAGGAAAGGGGACCTTTGTTATGTAGTAGACAAAAGTTTGGCAACCTCATTACTTGTAATGCTATGGAAAATGAGAAATATAACTACTGAACTATATTTTCTAGCTATGGAGATTTCCAGGCAAAACACTCAAAGTGCCACCTGGCTTCTTCTCACTGGCCATGAAAATTATAAAAGAGAAGAGATGAGGTTAAGATTAAACTGTCTGGTTTTCAAGCAAAATTTAGAGGAAATATAAAAGAGCCAGGACTTGCTGTTTTGAAATTAAAACTTTTCCTTCTCCTCAGCTTCTTCAGATAACAGATGATTCTCATAGTAAGAAACAGCCTCAGAAAAACAACAAATTCAGGTCACTGTCAGGACAAAAATGGTCTAAGGATGAAGCCAAGGGTGAGTCTTTATCAAGACCTCAGAAACTCTTAAAGTGATGCCCCATAACCTCTTCAAAAAGGCAAAAGGCTTTATAAAGATCTTAAGGGCATGCCTCATAAAGCCTGTTAAATAAAAGAGCATCTAAGAATTTTTATTCCACAAAGCCTCAAAGTAGACAAAGGTTCATCTTAAAGAGATCTGTGGGTATCATTTTGTCTAATGGAGTGGATATAACTTGATACATAAAAAGCCAACATTTTTTAACATAAGTGTACCTGCTTGGGCTGAATGTAACAGAGCCAATACAAAAGAAAAATAGGTCTTTGTAGCCCCAACATTTTAGTGGTAGGAAGCAAGCTGAGGTTATTCAATTCCATTGCAAACACAAGCTACAGTCATCCCTTGGTATCTATGGGGACTGGTTCCAGGACCTCCCATGGATACCAAAATCTATAGATGCTCAAGTCCCTTATATAAATGGTATAGTATTTGCATAGAACCCATGCATGTCTTCCTGTATACTTTAAATCACCTCTAGATTGCATACAATACCCAATACAGTGTAAATGCTATGTAAATAGTTGCCATATTGTATTGTTGGGAAGAAGAACCAGAAAAATAAACTCTAGCTCCTGTTCAATACAGACACAATTTTCTTCAGTGGTTTTAATCCACACTGGCTGAATCCATGGATGTAGAACTCATGGATATGTGCTGGCTGTACTTTAACGCAATTATGACTATTTGGTTGCAAACACAAACTACTTTTTAATTGGAAAAGAAAGGATGCCTCAGAAGGCAAAACAAAGAGCCCAAAGGGTGGGGCCAAATGCCGAAGTGAACAGTTCACAGGGAGCGGCCATTCATCCATAATTAAGGAACTGGTAACATGTGCCCAGTTGGGTTTCAGAATTGCTGCGGGCTAGTGACTACTGTATCTTCCCATTTCCTCCATTCTTGAATGGAAATGGCTTTTGTCATAACCATATTCCAGTCTTATTATTGTCTGTTGAAGGGAGAAAAGTGAGGTAAGGTAGCTTGTATCTTTCGTTAACAGGTCTTCAGAGTGAGAGAAACTATGACCAAGAAACCAAACCAAGTGATCTCTTCTATGCCTGAACCTAAATTAGATGGTGAGGCCTGGACCTCAAGTCTGAGCCTGATGTTGTAATGGGATGAGACCCACTGACAAGTATACATTGTTTGTAGGATGAATATAAATAGTCTGCAGGCAGAGAGCCGACTGTGTTAATTTTAAAACAGGCATACAAATTCTTTTACACTCCTCCTGTCAAGAGCTGGGGCCTAATGCCCTCTTTTGCTGAAAGAACACTATCCTTAGTGCTCACTTATAACCAATAGAATGTCTTAAAAGTGATGCTCTGTGACTTCTGAAGGTAAGTTTAAAAATTCCACATAACGCCCACCTAGTTCTTTCAGGACACTCACCTTTGGAGCTCTGAACTACCACGTAAGAAGGCCAACCATCCTAAGGCCATCATGCTTTGAACAAGCCAGGCCACATGAAGAAGCCACACGTGGATATATGGCTGACAGCCTTAGCTCACATCCCAGAAGACTGATGACACAACCACCAGACAAAGATGGCTTCAAATGATTCTGGCCCCTAGCTGTTAAGTCACACCCCAAACATCCTGCTTTCCCATCTGAGGCCCCAGACATTATTGAACACAGAGAAGTTGCCACCACTGTGCCCTTCCAAATTCCTAGCCTACAGAAACTTTGAACATAATAAAATGGCTGTTTTATGCCACTAAGTTCTAGAGTAGTTTGCTATGGCATGAAAGAAACCAGAACAATATTGTAAAGGAAAAATTCATACTATCAGTTTTCAAACAAGAAAATCAGAATAAAAAGAGGTTAAGGTAATTAACAAAGGTTGCAGAGAAGCAAAGCAAAGAAATAATTCTGAAACAGACTAATCTGATTCTAAAATCAGTGTTTATAATCATCATGCTACACTATATTCCATAGAGATATACCTACCTCTGTGTCTTTTCCTGTTAACATCTCCCTGGCAAAGAATTATATGCACACAGTATCTGCTTCTCTAAGACCAAACCATCATTCAGGGCCATACTGAATCCTATCTCCTCCATGAAGCACATCCCTAGACTGCAAACCTTAAGAATTTCTCCCTCTTCCAACTAGTCTTGAACTTATTTTCTACAAGTTTCAATCAAAGCAATTCGTGAATACGTAAATACTAGTGTTCCTAAACCACAATTATTGAATTCATTGTTTTTCCTACGCACAGTCCTAGGCTACCCTCTGGATTTTCAACTCCAAATGTCTATAGGATTGATCAAAACAGGAAATAAATATCAGTGAAATGGACTAGATGCAAAAGAATAAAAGCGGTCTGGATTAAGTGAAACTGGGAAGCAAATGCCTCATGTAAGTGAGTCACCACCACCCAGCTCTAGCACAGTGATTTTCTTAATAGCATATATCACTCTCTGACATATTATATATTTTTCTTTATTGCTTCTCTCACCTCATTAGAATATAAGCTCCCTGGGAGCAGGAACCTTTTCTGCTTTGTTTGCTGCTATATCACAAGAGCCTAGAACAATACCTGCCATTCAGTCAATAAATACTTGTTGAAGGAATAAATGAACAAATGTTACCAAATAGGAGTGTAACCTTAGTGTTAGAAGAGCTTTCCATTTTTCAAGAGAAGCCAGAAATAAATAAGTTTATGTGCAATCTTCTACTTTCTAAATGTTGACAACTAATATAAAAAATGTTAAGCCATTTTGGGGATGGGTAAACAAAACATGGCTGCAGCCTTGGATTCAGTCTGAATGCTTGAATTTGCAATCTCTGTACCAGAAGGATTTTAGATTTTTTTTTAATCTTTCTAATTACTTAGAATAGTGCCTTGCAAAATGTAGGTAGCTTGATCAGCAAATAATAACAGTGATGATGATGTCTCAAATATTCACACTTAGGGCCCTACTACCATTCAGCTGTATATTATTTACATGCTACTGAAGTTCCTCTTTCATATCTCAAAGAAAATTGCTTCAGCTTCTGATCTGAAATGACCACCTGGACTTCATGTGATCATCCCACATCCAAGATTCTAAAGCTAAACTTCCACTCCTTCCAGCTGTTAAGTGTTGAGAAATGTCATTCTCATATGCTCCGAATAATAAAAGGGGAAAGGCAGTGAAAAGAAAACAGATTGGATTTCAAAACAGTGACAGAAAAAAGGAGTCAAGTTCTAAACTATATTTCCACAGTTGATAAATAAGAGCTCCCAACGGCAATTTTGTTTTCTTTTTTATAGATTTTAGTATTTTAGGTTATGCAATCTAAAATTTTATTTCAATTGACCTTTCAGTGTTCTCTGGTAGCATGTTTTATCATTTCTACATAAAAATTATTAAGCAGGAATTTTTAAATATTTACTAATTACTTAGAGATTCTTAACTCTAACAAAAAGTCACATCTAAGTAACTATTAGAGAGTGTCTGGCTTTAAAACATGGGTCACTTAGCAACAAGCATAATTGTTTAGGGCTGAAAACACTTTTAAGATACTTTAAAGAAAACATACTAGAAAAAAGAATTTCCAGTGTACCCTATGCTAGCTGACCCACAGCAAGTCAATCATCAACTTTTGAAGACGTAAAATGAAATGAGATGTCTTCGTGTTCCGTGTCTGTGTATGGTCCAATGAGTACAGCCTTGAAATGCCCATAGAAGACATCAATGAACATCAGAGAAATTCAACATATCAAATGATTATAAATCCAAAAGAGTAAAATGCCTACTGGCCTTCTAAGAAGTGTGCATTTAAAACATGATTTTAATGATTAGATAGATGAATTCATTATAAGCAGTTTTTCAGTAATGTCATTGATTTTGTATGCTGGCAGATTTTATTTTTTAAACAGGTCCCACAATGACTTAAATTAAAAGTAACAGTGAGGAAAATTTCTTTAGCCAAAACTATTTTTCAAAATTTAGGTTATTTTAGAGCTATCAACTTCCTACAAATTAAAAATATAGATTTCTATTCACCTATTTTGCTGTGTTCAAGCAACACTGAATACAAAGGTTACTGGATGAGAAGAATCACAATCTGAATTTTCCTACAGACACACAAGTGAAATGGTGAAACACAGTTCCTAAGGCACAGGGGGAAAAGCCCAAAATTTAGGATCAAACCAACCAAATTTGATTTACAGCTCTACCATTTGCTTACGTTTAGCCCCTGGACAAGTTACTTAACCTCCTTAAACTGTACTCAATTTACTTTACTCATTTGAAAAAAAAAAAAAGTGGAATCTTAATACCTTGTCTTAATGTTAATATGAAAATTAAAATAAATGCATATATATCATGTAAGCCATTGAAATTAGGAAAAAATTGTTAATTCAACATGGGATAATCTACCCTAATGCAATGTAATTGCATGTAAAAAGTGCCTAGAATACCATGGTGTCACAAATGATAGCCATCAAAGAGAATCCAATAGATTTTTATTATAAATTTAATGCAGACAATGCTCCCTCTATCTCATCCTTCCTAAGAAAATAAAATGAAATGAAAATAAGTTGCAGGACATTATTTACAATAGAAAATCACTTACATGAAATTTTAAAATAGGGTATGTATTGTAAGTGTGTGTGTGTGTGTGTGTGTGTGTGTCTATACATAGATATGAAATAATCGTAGGATAATATGCATGGAAGTAGCAAACACCAAATTCAGGACAGTGTTGATCTCTAAGGGAAAGACCAAGGCAGTGAGATCAAGGGATGGTTACACAGAGAGCTTCAACTCCATCCTATGTTTTACTTTCTCAGCAATAACATTAGACTGAAGATGGTAAAATGTTTAGTTCTATTGATCTGGCTAGTAGGTGTATGGAGTTTACTATATTACTCACCACATGTTCTGTACATTTCAAATACATTACAATAAAAAGAAGTAGTTTTCCCAGTCATACAAACAGGCAATTTTCCAAAAGAGACAACAGTAGCTGTTCCAGAGATGTACAATAGTGCAGGTAGAGATGAGGAAGAACAAGGATGATGGGGGAGGGAGGTGGAGGTGGTTAAGGGAATAAGAGTGCTGGGTATAGAAGACAGGTTTATCTCTGACACTTTGAAACTAGTAAAATATGTAAAAACCCCCCCATAAGAATTAAAGAAAGAATTCCACTATATAAGGTGTAAAAAGGTTAGAAATGACTCACTGTTAATCCAGAAATCAGGTTACTTTACAGAGTGTACATTATCCAAAAACATCATTAAGCTGAAAATACTTACTACAACCCCACTCTTGGTGGTAGTTTCTCTGTATGTGAAGTTGCAAATTGCCCAGGCTAAATAATATGTGGACATGAGAGGGGTCTGTGAAAAGTGATCCGTAACCCATCCATCTTCCTCAAACACGGAAGTTTCCACTGGCATATTAGATAAAGATAAATAGGTTGCTTGATGCTTGATGCTGATTTTGAAAGTAGCCTTGTAGATTGGCTCATCAAAACAAGGAAATGCCTTTCTGGCATGTGTAGGCGAAAACTGAGTAACACCAAGGAATCTGGAAAAAAGAAAATGACATTCTCAATTACATTTATGTTGTGAGTTAAGTTATGGCCACATTACATGCTTCTGTTGATGAAATAATATATTATTCCAAATTGCAATATTTTTTTCTGAACCAAACTTAAGTGCATGAATAGCATGAAAGCATAATCCATATGTAATATACTTCCCCAACCATAAAAGTTTTTCAGGGAGGTTTCTGCCTCAATTAAAATAAATTCGTTAAACCCAGAGAAGTGCTCATTAGATGAAACATTACACAGTACAGAAAAACAGCTCACTGGCATCACACTGGCCAGAACTGGAAAGTGATGATTCTCCTTTTCAGTGTGCTTCACTTTCTTCTCTGAAGCTGCACAACATGTAAAGACAACGAAACCAAAATCCAAAAATTATCCTCAGATATATGTAGTACATAGACCATCACTTGGGAAATCTCTGTGCCCTAAAATTTCAACAAGACACAGCCTGGTTTTGTTCAGAAAAAGGATTTTGAGACCTGATAAATTCTGGTCTGAATTCTGGCTCCACAACTTTCTTAGCTATGCCACCTTGGGCAATTATTAAACTTTCCTAAGATGTAGTTGGTCATTGCTGAAAAAGTAAATAATCAAGTCTAACTCAAAAAGTATTGCACAGCTTAGAGGAAAAGAAAGGATGTAAAGCACCTATGACTGTGACTAGCATGGAGCAGTTGCTAATTCACATCTTCAACCTTTCTTGGAGCACAGGAATAAATATTTATACAGATCAAGCCGTATCTTATTAAAATTCCAACTGAAAGCACCTTCTATATTCTTTCATGGTTTATGGTTACAAATGAAGACAAAGATTAAATATTTTAAGAAGGACTCTTCAGCCCGGCATGGTGGCTCACACTTGTAATCCCAGCACTTTGAGAGGCCAAGGTAGGCGGATTATGAGGTTAAGAGATCGGGACAATCCTGGCCAACATGGTGAAACCCCATCTCTACTGAAAGTACAAAAATTAGCTGGGCATGGTAGCGCATGCCTGTAGTCCCAGTTATTCGGAAGGCTGAGGCAGGAGAATCACTTGAACTCGGGAGGCAGAGGTTGCAGTGAACCAAGATCGCGCCACTGCACTCCAGCCTGGCGACAGAGCGAGACCCTGTCTCAAAAAAAAAAAAAAAAAGAAGAAAAAAAGGACACTCAGACACTCTTCTAAATAAGAAAAACATTCATGACAAAAGTTAATTAAACTTTTTAAATAATGCTAGTTACAAAACAATATAAGGCAAGTCAATATTAGACTGTTAATAGAATACTATTGAGTTCTGAAGCGATTTCTTTAAAAGGCTTGTTCCTCCACAAGTAGCTCTGCCACCACTCCTCTCTCCATCATCTGTGATATACATGGTTAATCTAACATGGCAACTTTCCCACCAAACCCGAACTTGGCCTCAAAATTATTCTCAGCACAGCACTTCAGGCAACTACTACCAATCAATACAGGTTGACATGCGTATTGAATCTTATTGGCTATCCCTTAGCTCAAAGCATGAGGTATAAATTTTACACTATTTTTAAATTATGAAGCTTACATTGATCATTGAGGGCCTCATTTTTTAAAGCTTAGTTTTAGAATAGAGAAAAATAAAACATTTTAAAAATTAATAGTTACTTATTTTCATAGACAAGGTTTTCGAGAGTTATCTTGGAAATAGCAACAGGCTGCTACACACCACGCTTGGTTAAGTAACTTAACTATCTGACCCTGTTTTTTCATTAGTAGAAGGAAAATATGTTTTCCAGGCTTTCCTTACAAAAGTCAAAATGATAGAATGAGATAATATATGGAAAAGAGATTTTAACTGTAAATCTTCATATGAATATGAGGTTAAAGCTAGAAGCAATATTAGAAACAAATTGTCCTATTCCCATAAATTTCTAAGTTGAAAAAGTGCATCCGGTAGGATTAAATGATTTGTCTGAAGTTACACAGACAACTTGCACAAAGCTGGGTCTAGAACTCACATTTTCTGAATTACATTTCAAAACAGTAAAATTAATTTTTAGCCATAATTTATAAACGTCTTAATTCAGCTGTAAGTAACAAAGATTCTTCTTTCCCAATTTGCCAGTATCATGGTAATATTTTTCTTACTATTTTTTGCTGATTAGTAATACACTTTCTGCTTAATGAAATGTCAGTACCTTTTAGTTAAAATGCACCCATTTACAATTTTGTCTTCATATGCTTTTATCTTACATAATGCTCGTGAATCTTATCTTTCAGCTTATTAATTAAAATGTCCACCAAGCTTAATATTTTTCACTGAGGCTATTTAAAAGATGCCCATGGGATTTTATTTATGAGTCGAAGTTACTCCCTTTTAACTTCGAAATATCTGAGAACTCCAATTCAATCACTGAACGAATATTGTCTGCTATGTGTGAGCTTTATGCTATACAGGTTGAGTGTCTCTTATCTGAAATGCTTTGGACCAAAAGCTTTTCAGAATTTGGATTTTTTTAGATTTTGGAATATTTGCATTATGTACTACCAGCTGAGCATCCCTAACCCAAAAATCCTAATAAAAAACGTTCCAATAAGCATTTCCTTTGAGCATCATGTTAGTACTCAAAAAGTTTTGGGTTTTGTAACATTTTAGATTTTGAATTTTTGGAGTGGGGATACTCACCCTGTATTAGGTACTCAGTATAACTTTTTTTTTAAGATATAACCAATTTCATATTTAAGGCCTTTGCAGTCTAATTGAAAAATATATATTTTTCCATGAAATATATATATATATGTATAATATTTCCTCATGGAAAATTAAAGGACACCTAATAATACTAGGGGAAGAGTTCTACAACAGTTCAACAGAGAGGTTGTAATTAGAATGAATTAGCCTTTAAGTAAAAATCAAAGATGTCTTTGATATTAAGTAATTAGTGGGTAAGAATTTATTATGTGTAAAAGATGTAAATACCTCTGGGCTAAGGATAATTTGATTAAACAAATATTTATGCAGAGAAAAAACATAGTGCAATCTCTTTTTGCCTTACCAAGTAAGTAAGTATGTTAGGGAAGGTAGCAATTTAAATCACTGATCCTCAGGGTTGAAAAGAACTATAAAGATCACCTAGTGACTTCTTCTGCAATTAATATTCTTAATGAATTCATACACACAGTATATATCTATGCACAGAGGGCCACCATATATTCTGATAATGTCTAAATGAGGAAATACCAATTTCACAGTCTGGCACCTGAAGATGATTGCAATTGAATTTCAATTCAGTATTTAGAAAATCAAAAGAAGTCCCTTGGTAAAGAAGAGCAGTTGGACTAGATTACATTTAAGGTCTTTTCCAAGCTTGAGATCCTATAACTGAACAAAAATCAGACGTAAAATATTCCCCAAGTGTGATTGGTTTTTTAAAGATGTTAAATTACACTACCACTAAATAGCTTTTTACTACAAGTTCTATAAAGCATTTGCTCCTTTTAATCATTTATTTTTGAGTGTTCAATACTGGGGAGAAAAAGATAAATATATATGCTTCCTTCCTGCAAAGAGTTTCTATGCTAATAAAATAAACATATACCTAGACGGGTATTATACAAAAAGCCATGACAAAAAGGGGAAAATGTAAGAAGAAATTACATTCTCCTAAAGCAGAGTTTCTCAATGTTGGCACTACAGACATTTTAGGCTGGATAATTATTTGTTGTGGGGACTGTCTTGTGCCTTGAAGGATCTTTAGCAGTATCCCTGGCCTCTACCACTAGATGCCAGTATCATCTCTCCCCAGTTGAGATGGGCAAAAATGTCTCTGGACATTGCAGATGTCCACTGTAGGAAGAAATTGTCCCAGTTGAAAACCATTAGCTTAAAGAACTCAAAGAAGTATTTATGAAGAAGAAAGCATAATAATTGGTCTGAAAACCTGGATGGAAGTTTAAAGGTCATAGTTGGATGGAGAAATGAGTGAGTTGACTACAGGTAGCACAGAAACAAGCCTTCAATAAAGTTTTCACTCACATATTAAGTTTGTGCCCTGTCTGCTGTCTTGCAGATTCTGGTTACATCAGATCTCAGTATTTCAAGTCCATCTGTAACATCTTTTTCAACCTTGATACTCTTTTTTCTAACAGAGAGAGCCAGTTTCCGGTCAGTGCCCTTAACAGGCAACAGTGCCTGCAGAATTTCAAAAATATAATTTTGTCTTCACTGCATATATTTTATGGTTGCCTTCAATTAGTGGAAGTGAGACTTCTCTTCTGCTTACTGTCATTAAAAACATCAAAGAGTCCCATAGCAACGGTGATTTTGAGAAAAAAATAACAAGTTTGGAGTGAATTTGTGGTGAGTTTGAGGTGGTAAGCAGAATACCAAGTATAATAAATATAAAAAATTAATTAAAAATCGAAATATTTCAATTATAATGTGGACATGAAAAAATATATGTAAATATAGCAAAAAGTAAAACAAAACAGCAAAAGGCAGAAGGTAATGGGGACAAGTATTTTGTTGTCTGTTATTCTCCTGCTTTCCTAAACAAAATCATTTTTATCTTTTAATGAATCTGTCTATTACCATAAAAAATTCCACTTTCAAAAGTGACATTCTGGGAGTGTGATTCGTAGAATGTCATTTTAGCATAACTGGAAAAATGTGAATAGCATACATGTATTTTAATTCTCTTCTATCTAAAATAAATTACTTTATTTTCTTAACAACTTGTCTATTTGACATTTTGGTTGAGCTAAGAAGGAAGGCTTAAAGCTCCATGTTGCCTCTGAAGGATATAGAGAATTGATTTCTTCTTATTTCTGCGGAAGTTCACTAGGCAAGCTACTTGTATCAAGTCATTATGATAACATTCAGCAGAAGTAATGCATTAATGTTGGTTGATATTGCCAACAAATTACAGTATGTGATACAAAACAATTTCTGCTCCATTATTTTTCAGTTTGCCTTTTCATAAAGGTAAGACATGCAGAGGAAACAAACATTTGCATAACACTGTTAGTATTCAGATTGATTCATGGCATTTCACTGTGGAATCCGCCAAAACCAAGAGAATCTCACAAACAGCATGGATGACTTGAAAGGTTTTCTTTTTGGCCACATCTCTGCATAACACAGTGCAAAATGATTTTGAACCTACTTCTATAGCAACTGCAATTTCTCTAATATTGCAGTAGTTTAAGATTGGTAATAAAAACTCCCAAGACCTAAAGAAAAGTTTCAATGGAACATCTAGTTACTATTCAACTGATTGCAGTAAGCGGACTGTTACAAGGTCATGGAAGTTACACGTGTCCCATTTAAAATTGTTAATCCAAAATGCAAATTGTTACTCGATGACTAAATTCTTTAAGGCAAAATGGGTCGTTGTTTAGACTGTGTGTTTTTATGCACTTCAATGAGTCATTAAACCTCTGCTATTTCAGAAGAGAAGTACTCCTGCTGAATATTCAATACTATAAGCAAGTGTGTAGTCTATTTTTTTTAAATAACCATTGGAGTAAACTAAAAACATAAGGCAATAATGCCAGCAATATGTATGTAGGAAGTGGTGCATATGTGAATAATCGTGTTATAAAAACAGAGCATAATATTCATAATTGTTTCACCATTTATGTACTAAATATGCTTACCAAAAATAAGTACTGCGTACTTGATCATCATTGTTGAAGGGTATTATGAATGCATTAAAATGACTTTCCCAGGTCATAATATTAGGTTTTCATAAAAATAAATAAAATTCGTGTCTGAGATTCACGTTTTTTTATTGGAAAGAGGCAAAATATTACGGAAGTATTATAAAGTACTGCTGTTGTCAAAACCACATAAAGTCTTAGGAACAATATCTAATGATTGAGACGCCTTTCCCTTGGTACTTAAGGCTTTTCTTCTTGCTGTACTGGTACCCTTCTGACTCTTCAGTCTCTGGTTCCTGCTATCTGGTTCCTGCTATTCTCACTGCTAATAGACAGCAGTGCTGTAATCAGAGACTTGTGTGTTTCTCTTGTTTCCCTCAGTCTTTCTGCTCCCTCAACCCTCTCCATCTCCCAGTATTTGATCCAAGCTGGGAGATTCTCTGGCTGAAATACCACAACCTTTCTTTTCCTTCTTTTTTTTCTGGTGACCAGGCTCCTCTTCTTCCTTCCCACCTTCTTTTCCCATTCCCTGTCTTTTGAACTCTGCTTAGGTGGTAAAAACAAACAGCAGCCAAAGGGATGTCCACGGTGACCATTTCCCCACTGTTTTGCCAGCAAGGGGAAACCCCAAAGCAAGAACGTTGGTCCTACACAAACTGGTACTAGCCCAAGTAGCAGATCTCCAGCCATGGAATAATAAAATTATATTTAATAACCACAGATGTGCTTACCAATTATCAGACACTGTTCTAAGTGCTTTATTACTGATGTAATCATCACAACAACCCTGTACAATAGAATATCATTATCTCCACTTTCCAGATGAGGACACTAGACACACAGCAATTAGGAAATCTGGCCAAGGTCTTAAAGCTAATAAGTGGCAGAGTCAGGATATGAGGCCAAGCAGTCTGGTTCCACAGTCCCTGCATAGGAGGAAGAGAATGAACACACTAAACACATACACACACACTTTTCCATCCAGCGACACAACAAAAGTGAACTATTTTTTAAAAGATATAAGATTTTTAAAAATAATCTATTTTTAAAAGATGTAAAAAGTAACCAACAACCACAGTTTTTGAACTACTTTCTTTGTCTATCCTCTGATTTTTCTTTTTTTAGTTGTGTAGTCATGAGGAAAGATGTGAATGATTAAAACAAAACTTCATCCTGCAGCACACACATAGGTGTGCACTGGGAGGAATTAATTCACCCTGTCCCTGTACAACTGGGGCCACAGTTCTATAAATGTCAGGTCCACCCAGGCATTCAGAAGCTTGGAGGCAAAGAAGGCAGGAAGGGTGAGCCTGGGTTCTTCACCCTTATTCAGCTCCATGCAACACTGCCAATCTTATTCTACCCTCACACTGCCACCACCACCATACAGCTGTGCCTGTTTGTGCATCATTTTAGGTTGTCCAGGAAACTGGAAAAAGCAGGAAGTATTTTTCACGTTTGAATTTTCCAAAATTCTGCCTAGTAAAATTCTATCTGTGGGAGAAAGTATGCAGTCTCCTGTAGTAGAAAGTAGGATGGCATGAACTTTGAAAAACCCTGGTAGAAGCTGGCCAGTAATGTAAATCTGGAAGGCAGTAAAGAACATGCAAAGAATTGAGAAATGATGATGATGATGATGGTGATGATGAAGATTATGATTGCTAGGGGTTGGGAGGATGAGCATTGGGGGTGAAGGAGGGATGCCCTCCTTAAAGACCGTAAAGCATTTATGCCTTAAAGGTAAATTATTTCTTCCTCACTGTTTTTGTATCACTCCTTGAAGTCATACTTACAGAGGTAAGTCCCATTTTTGTAAATCATATTGACCAAATGTCACCACCCTCAAGCACACCTAAAACATGTCCTGCATTGTTTGCTCAAGCCCATCCACATACACAGTGGCAACAATCAGTTTAAATAAACAAACATGTTGTGCAAACCAAACAAATACTGGGAAAGCCAGTATCAGGTCCATCTTTATTTGAAAGGGATCCGAAGCAGATAGGCTCAGTTTGGAGTTGCATTGAATAAATAAAAACAAAGGCAACTGCACAGGCAACAAAAGCAAAAAATAGACAAACGGGATTGCATCAAACTAAAATGTTTCTGCACAGCAAAGACAATAAACAGTAAAGTAAAAAGACAACCTATAGAATGGGAGAAAATATTCGCAGTCTGTACATCTGATAAGTGATTAATGACCAAAACATATAATGAAATCAAACAACTCAATAGCAAGAAAAAACAAAATCTGATTTTTTAAAGTGGGCAAAAGACCTGAATGAAAATTTCTCAAAATAAGACATACAAATGGCCAACCGGTATATGAAAAATGTTCAACATGACTTATCATCAGGGAAATGCAACCACAGTGAGATGTCAACTCACACCTGTAAGAATGGCTATTATCAAATAGACAAAAGATAACAACTGTTAGCAAGGATGTGCAGCAAAAAGAACCCTTGTACACTGTTGGTGAAAATGAGTACACTATAAATTAGTACAGCCATTATGGAAAACAGTATGGAGGTTCATCAAAAAATTAAAAATAGAACTACCATATGATCTGGCAATCCCACTACTGGTGGATTATATATCCAAAGAAAAAGAAATCATCATGTTGAGGAGATATCTGCAACATGTTTATTGCAGCATTATTCACAGTAGCCGAGATACAGAACCAACCTAAGAGTTCATCAATGAATGGATGGATAAAGAAAATGTATACATACACTAATGAAATACCATTCAGCCATAAACAGAAGGAAATCCTGTCATTTGAGACAACATGGATGAACTGGAAGACTTCATGTAAGTGAATAAGCCAGGCACAAAAAGACAAATATTGCATGATCTCAGTAATATGTGGAAACTAAAAAAGTTGACCTCACTGAATTAGAGAGTAGAATAATGTTTACCAGATAATAAGAGGTTAGGGGAAGAATGGAGTTGAGGAGTTACTGGTCAAAGGATATATAATTACTTAGAAAAAAGGAATAAGTTCAAGGGACTTATTGTAAAGCAAGGTGACTATAATTAATGACAATATATTATATTCTTGAAAACTGCTGAGAGTAGATGTTAAACATTCTCACCACAAAAATAGCTATATGAGATGATGCATTTGTTAATTAACTACATTTGTTCCAAATGTATGCATACTTCAAAACATTAGATTATACAAGATAAATATACACAATTTTATGTCAATTAATTTGAAAAAACTGTATATTTAATTATTATCCAGGGTGATCAAATCAAATGGCACTACAGGAAACACAGAAAGACAAACACCAATTGCATAGATTTTCTCCCTGAGTGAGTCATTATTACATGGTCAGAGCTTTTTTTTTAGTAAACATTGTCTAGATACGGTTTACTGGTGGCATTTTGAATTGTGTTCAAAATCCAGCACTGAACTCAGTTTTGCCATATGGTTATGTGAGCCTGACACAAAAACAATGAGCTAAGTCCATTAAGGAATCACAGAAAAAAGTTTTTACAGAAACAAATGGTTCTCAAAGATTTTTTTCAGTTCACAGTCCTCTATAGAGGGACAAAAAGCAATATACTCCTACTTGCTCATGTTAAGCTATCTTCTTACCGAAGTGAATGGGAGAAATGAAGTTGCTTTCGATCTAAAAATAATGTAGTGAATTTCTTGTTTGTATTAAATACCATGAGTATTAATTCATTCTGAGTAAATTACAAGGCATCAGATCACACAAATACCACAGTAGAGCAAATGCCTACCCAGAGATAAAATCCTCCATTCTCTCCCCAAGATTTTTGCAAAAGGATGGTCCCAATTCTCTTTGAGAACTACCACTATTATTTTCCCATTTTACTTGGAGACTATAGTTTCTCTCTAAACAATCCTTTATAGAAAAGGACCTCATATTTTTAATGTCGTCTCACTTTGGCATGTTATAGACCCTATTAAAGTTTGTCAAAGAAAAACAGTCTCCCTTTTGAAAGTGAACAAAATGTTCTTTATCTTGGCTATATTTCCCTTTCAATTCAACCATCTGGATCTAAATTAAGGTACCCTACTTTGAACACGGGTGCGCTCACCATCTGGCTACCCAAAAGTGGCAATTATTTCAGGTAAACGGACATTTTACCTAATTCTAAGCAAGCATACTCTTTTGTCGGAGACTACAGCATAAATACACACCCATTTTTATCTGCCTGCTGCACACCTAGTTGATGAAAAAGTGAGTATGTATTCTGCCTAATTTACTTATTGGTGTGTAGACATGTGGATTTTAGGAGAATTTATTTTCAATGTTCAACAACTGTAGTAACCAAGAGTAGAGAATTTGTCTCAACTTGGGAAAACTTGGGCTTCAAGAGGGAGCTCGTCTTCTAACCTTTGTACATTACAGTATGGAAATCAGGAAAAGCAAGTCTTCCCAGTTGTACAAAGCCAGGCTACTTACAACACCCAGAGGTGGGTAAAACCTTCCAGGGGTCCAAGGTATATAGCACACAGTAGAATCTAATTTCCCTGCCGTCACCAAAATTCTTTTGCTCAGGTCTCTGAGAAGCAAGTTGAAGAATCAGACTGATAGGATTTTAATGAGTTAGTGTTTCCACATAGGCTAAGAGAAGTGGACTGCACTGTAGTATTGCTGTTTTAAGCATTTCAAGTTGCTCAATATGACTTCCTTTATCAGATTACATATTTGTTTTTATTACAGACATTACCCTATAATTAAATTGGCAAAATTATATCTAACTAAAAACCAAAATGTTTAATCATTAATCAAATGAAAATTCAGTGCTTGCATCTGCGTCCTATTTGAAAGTGGGTTTTAAAATGCCAATTTACATTGCATTTTGTGGACAACATAAAAGTCCAACCCTAGCTGAGATGCTGATATGGGTCTGTTTAAAAATGCTCCATGCTCCAAGTGGCTATAGTAACAAAAAATGTTTAATAAATAGAAAGTTTGCATAACTATGAAATGGTTTATTAGATTTATTTCTTTTGTCTTATCAACTCCAGTAGAAACATCCAAGAAATTATAAGATTTACTCTAATAATAATAATGAGGAAGGAAAAAAAAATGAAGAACAAGGACTTTCTCTAAGATGCTGTTTAGAAATAAAACAATCCTGGGATTTTCAGAACACTGAGTTCTGCATTTCTATTGGGATGAAGAGTTTAACTATATGTTAACTAGGTTGAACTTCCAACCAAGTTGTTTACTTCTTTGGGGAAAACTGCAAGAGAGTTTGAGTACAAATACGCACTAGGGGTACAAGAAATCAGTTACGGTTCAAGCAGAAACATCTGGTCTTTTTAAGAGTCCTGTTAATTTGAAAGCATTGACCAAAACAAGCTCAGTTCTGCCAAACATATTTTGGCATGGCTCAAAAAACAGGATTTTTCAAAAGCATTTATTTCACTGCAGCAAGATGTATCAGTAATGATATGCAACTCCCACTATTGACATTTTGACCTAAGAAGCTTGTTCCTAAACATAGTATGCAAATTTGTTTTCTATGCCTTTCCCCCGTATTTGACATAATTCTGGGTTTAAAAAATATTTTTAATCTGTATTCTTTAGAACATGTTGGAGGAAGTGGTAGAAGGGGGTTTAAAATATCCATATCTAATGTCAGGAGTAAGAAAGTGAATAATTTATACATTCACTTATAGGAGGTTTTAACTATCATACAGCTACTAAAGCATTGGGCATTTTATTTATAGGAGGTTACTTCATAGAACTCTATAAATAATAAAACTTTTGCTTACTTTCACAACACATTGCAATTTCCCCAGCCTCTTACACAATAACTTCTTCTGAGAGTTTCCAAACACCATAAGCTCTGTCTGGTCCAGGGATTAGAGAACCAAAGTTCAAGTCCTAACTCTCCACTGACAAGCCTGCTCACCTCCAGGGCCCTGGGCTTCTCCGAGCCCATTTTCTGCTGTTGTGAGAATCACCTGAGAAAAGGAGAGGCTCTGCCTCATTACTGATCTGTAACCTGCCTCCTCTTCTAAAGTTGTTGGTTTAATTTTTAAGCTCACTTTGGTTGTTCATCTGCCCTCAGTCATTTAATTAATCTAAGTTATCTTAGCAATGTGGGAATTAGAGCAAAGAACAAGAATCACTTATTCATTCAACAATATACCTGAGAGCTTACTGCCACAAGACACTCATGAGAGCTAGCATTTATGGTGGATACTCTATATGCCAGGCACAGGGGTAAGTACTTTGTAATGCATTCACTCATAGACGTCTACACCAATCCTACAAGTAGAATATTATTATTGGTATCCCCAAGTTAGAATTAAAAGTCTAGGCTCAAGAGCCAGACTCCCTGGGTCTAAATCCGTGCTTTGTCTGCTCACTCTTGGTGATCTTGATCAAGCTATGTGACACACCTGTGCCTCCATTTCCCCACCTGTAAAATAGGGAATGCTGATAATAGCGTCTACCTCATAGGGTTCTTGTCGGATTGAGTACATGGGCGTGCAATAAGCACTAGAAGTAGTCATGTCAGGAAAAGGTTAATTACCTTCCTCAAACCTCCACCAGAGTTAGATGAACAGCAGAGATTCGAACTCAGTTCTATTGGATTATGAGGTCTGAGCTCTAAACAAGTGGTGAAAAGCTCCACGGCCTCTCGGAAATTTTTTATAAAAATACAAAACTACACAAATGTAAAACGCGGCAAAGACACTAACAAGGCATTTGAGACTGACAACTAGCTTTCCCACCGCTTGGCCACTGGAATCATCTCCAGAGGCAGCAACTCATAAACAAACAACCGGAGTCGCCCTGCCTTAGCACAGAGCTGGCAGCGCCCGCGAGGCCACTTATCGCTGGCTCTGGCCTTGGCAACCTCCACCCCCGTCCCGGTCCTCTCAGCCTATCTCTGGAAACCACTCTTTTCACTCCGAATCTCAACTTGAAGTTTGGGGAAACTTGACGCAGCCAAAGCCCATCCTCTGCTCTGCACCTGGCAGGAGACTAATAGTCAGGGAAGATGGGCATGTTGTGGGTGGGGGTGGAGAACGGTGTGTCCCTGACCTGCCCTGACATGCTAACCTGGATGCGCTGTTGTCTTGGCCTTCAGCGCCACGTATTTTCCCTCGACAGTAACTTGGCAAGCTTTTCATGTCACTCTGGCATCGCTCAGATTATCAGCTACCCTTCAGAAAAAGAGCCCTGCGTTTCGATGGCTAAGGAACTCTGACAGGAAGAGGAGAGGTCCCGACTAGAGGAGGGGGCAGCATTCATCTTTTGGCACCGGTGAGTCAGTTTGCGAAGTTGGCGGCAGCGAGACCCCGAGGCATCTGGGAGACCCCGGAGTTCTGACTGCCCTACTCCGCTTTCGTTTCCTTCCCCCCACCCCTGGCTTCCCGGGTATTGGAAGCCAGCTGGGTCCCCGGGGTCGCAGGCCGCCCAGAGGTTCGAGCCGCGCGCCGGGGTGGGGCAGCGCGGGGCACCGCCTCCCTCCATACCTTCTCTCCCCGTGGAGCACATAGGAGCTGCGGAAGAAGCCCAGGAGCTCATTCTCGATGAGCGCGTTGTAGATAATCTTCAGATTGTAATTCCTCTGCGCGTCCAGTGTCCTATTCAGCACCACCACTAAGACCTGGGTTTGCGGGTAGAGGAAAAAACCGGCTACAGGGACAGCCCCGAACGCCCGGTCCTCGGCCAGCTGCACTTTCTCCACCGCCACTCGGGAAGCGTGCAGCACTACGTAGCGGGTGGCGTTCCGGCACGCGATCTCCACGTTGACCTCCCCGGAGAAGGTGAAGTTCTCCATGAAGGCGGTGAGCATCAGATTGTAGTGCAGCGGCTTCAGGTGGCCCGACAGGCGCAGCTGCGTCCACGGCTCCCACGGCTCCCGCTCCTCCTCCGACGGCGGCTGGGCCGACGTGGTCCCCGGACTGGCCACCCCACCCGCCTCGGGCTGCCAGGAGTCCCCGCCTGCGTGGTGGTTGCGCCGGGCCGATCCAGGGAGGCTCCCGTTGCCGCCGCGCTCCGGAAAGCCTGAGGGGCCACCGTCGGCGCCTGGCGTGGCACTCGCCCCGCACTCGTCGAAGCGCAGGCTGAGCAGCACAGCGAGCATTGTGACCGCGAGCAATGCCACGAGGGACACAGCGAAGGCCAGCACAAGCCGCTTGTGTACGGCGATGTGGCGCTCCGTGGTGCGGGGTCGCACTCCCACTGAGTCTGCCCACGGGTCGGAGAGCCCCCTGCTGCCAGCCCGAAGCGCGGCGTCGTCTTCCCCCATCGCGGCTGCGAAGGGTGAGCTGCTCTTCTCGGCCCCCTCCTCCTCCTCCTCCTCCTCCTTCTTCTTCTTCCTCTTCTTTTTCTTCTTCTTTTTCTTCTCCTCCTCTTGCTCCCCCAGCTCGCCGTCCAGGGCCATCACACCGCCTCCTCCTCCTCCCCCGCCCCCTCTGGCACCCCCCGCGGGCGGGCCACCCGGGCCACAGCCAGAGCAGGCATCGGAGAGCTCACGCGGGCCGAGGGCGCGCGACTGGGGATGCTGGCCCGGGTTCTTTTAAGACGGGTTCTGGACACAAGCGACGGCAGCTTCCGCGACCCCCATCAGCCCCGCCTCACTCTGGACACCGGGCTGTGAGCTCTGGGACGCGCCCAACTTGGAAAGCGTCTTGCTTGCCCAGCGCGCGCTACTTCTCGGACGAGCACCCGGCGGCGGGGCACATGCTGCCCCCGCCCCTGCGCGCCTGCGGCTCCCGGCTCTCCCTCCCCTGCGCCGCGCTCTCGCCTCGCTTTCCGCGGGAGCCTTCCAACCGGTTCTCGGCTAGGGAGAAGGACGGGAGCGGTGGGAAGAGCGAGGGTGTAGAGAGGGAAGTTAGGGCTTTCGCTTTCTCCCCCCACTCCAGCGGCGGCGTTCGGTCCTCTGGGTGGAATGTGCTCGCAGCAGCAGTGACGGCGGCCACAGCACGGGAGGCACCCGAGCCATACACCCTGCAGCTGGAGAGAAAAGGATGGCCGAGGTGGGAGAGACTAGAGTGAACCAGCAGGAGGAAGTCCCAGGGCCGCGAAGCTACGACGGAGATCCGTCCTGGAAAAGCCTTCTCCACCCTGGGCACTTTAAGCGGCGGTGGCGGCAAACGGCAGGAGGTTGCAGACCCGACAGCGAGACTCCCTCATTCCAGTCTTGCTCTGCCCTCCGGAGATGACAAGTGAGAAAGAAGTGTCCGGCCGGGCCATCCCCTTCAGGTAGATGAAGCTCTGGGTTTGCTCCATATCCCAAGGGGGAGAGCCGAAGTGCGTATGTCCGAGCGCGTGTGCATGTGTGTGCGCGTGTGTGCGTGTGTGTATATACACAGGCTTCGGGTTTAGATTGCCAGGGCTACTCCAGCTGCATTGAGGGACTGAAACTCCCAGAGAAAGGCAAAGGAGAGGGAGCGCGCGAGGAGGCAGGAAAGGCGGGAGGGAGGGGAGCGACTGAGCGGCAGAGGCAGGCACTGGGAGATTAGAGAGCTTTTCTCCGCTCTGTCACACCAGACACCCACAGCCACAGAGGGGGTTGCTGAGCCGCCTGCAAGAAGTACATTGTAAATCTTCAGCGCAACAAGCCCCGCAGTCACCCCTCTTCCTGACTCCTTAGCCCCACCGCGCTCCAGGGAGAGATCCTTGGAGCCTTTGGCTATTAACATAGAGAGCAAAAGAAGATCCTGCTAGGGAGATGTGGCTGTGTCAGATTTCACATCAAGCTCGCCAGAGGATTTGGAGGATTGTATGTAAATTGAAATAAATTCTCCAAAACCTGACTACATATATTACATTATACTGTGCGATGTGTCCAGGTGTGCAGTACTAAAATAATGTTAGCAATGAAGCATTAAAATCCTCCGGAAGTAAAGGCCAAAGCAAGGTGATGTTTTCCCCATAGGATAATTCCCATCTTTAGATTGGAGAAACGATTAACACACAATGTCTACAGTGTAACATTCAGGACCAAAACCCTGAGACTGAGAAAAGCTGGGCTTATTAGAACGGTGAACGAATACATTCCATGATTGGTCAGTTTTTCATTTCACCTAGCCATAATTACTTTCTTGCAGCTTTCCAGTGTTACCATGAACATTGTTTTAACTTTGTTAGGATAGTTATCAATAGACCAGTTTGCTGACAGCAGGCAGCATCAAAATAGGTTCATAGCCCATTGGCTGGTTATGGACTCTTGTCTGAGTATATTGGAGTTTAAAATTATACTGCAGAGTATGTATAAGTATGTGGGATATCCAACCTTCAGAATTTGTGCGAAGAACTCTAATTGGAACAATATTCAGAAAACAGCCACCCCAAAGGTGACATCTAGGAAGCAGGAGTCTCCAGTGTTTAGTAAAACAAAGTGTGATTGGCTTCTGGGTTAATTAAAAAAGTGAATAATAGAAAATTAGGTAATTCCTTTTTACATGTTTCTTTCATGTCTTCAAATCTTGAAGGCATTTTACAAATCATGTCCATAGCTATTTTCTTACAAAAAGAACTGGTTAATGCTTCTGGCTTTGGAGTACTGAAAATAGACAATTAAAATATTGTGTTTGGCTTTAAAAGCATGACCAAAGAGAAGAGACCAATTACACATTAACCTTAGCTTGATAACCACTAAAAACACAGCCCTGCTCGAGGAAGCCCTTTTTCATTTATCCCCAGATGGGATACATGCTCAATGCCATGCATTCTAAATGTCCATTTGAATCATTTTTAAATGATGATGAAAATAAGTGCCAGGGTGGGATTTTTTAAGCATGTTGTATGTGGGCCGTTAGCAACAGACCAAGGGAAATGCCACATTCTGTTCAAGTTACTTTTTTCTGCTCTGTTTTTAAATGTCTGTACTCTTGCTGTCCATATGTATCTGGCTGTATGCATTTTAAGAGTTGAGGAGTTGGGGTTCATTGGTTTGTTTTCACAGAATCAGGAACTATAGTGCAAGCAAGTAAGAGGAGCCCTGCGATCCTCAGCAGGTCACCAGACTTCTCTGACTTTAGGGTTTTAAACTGGTAATTTAGTATTACTGATCCAATATCCATGGATTGAGTACATTTGATTATCAGAGGCTTCTGGAATCATCCCGGGGAGTCTAAGACCCACTGCCTAAAGGAAGAGGTTACCCACTAAGGGATCTTTAAGACTTTCTCTTTCTAAAACATTAGTCAAGAAAAGATTCAAAGAAGGCTTTTTCTGTTTGTCTTTTTTTAAAAATGTGTACAAATTTGTGGGATACATGAGAAATTTTGTTACATGCACATAATATGTAGTGATCAAAATCAGGGTATTTAAGGTGTCCATCACCTGAGTACAATACATTTTTGCAAGGTATAGTCACCCTACTGTGCTCTCAAACAGTGAACAGCCAGATTCCTTCTGTCTTGCTGTGTGTTTGTACCCTTTAACCCAGTTCTCTTCATCTTTCCCCTTTCCCTCACTCACGGTTCTCAGTCTGTTATCTCTTTCCTCTCTTTACCTCCATCTGTTCTTCTTTGTATTTCACTAATGTGTTTATGTACTTCTGAAAATTACTACAAGGAAAGTCTCAAATATTTCAGAATTAAATAATACATTTACCAATTAATAAAGTCTCTACTAACTGTGATTAAATTAGTAAATGGATTATTTTTTCAGACCCAAGTGGAGTGGACATAAGATTATTAATATAGAATGGACACAACTTACTAGCTCATGGATTCCCCTTAAATGTAACTTTGCATAATAAAACTTACTATCAAGATCAAGTAGGTAAATATTTCTTCCTTTCATATCAGTGTTACAAAGGTCTTCAGTGAGTTTTATTTTTTTAATTTCTGAAAATATATAGCACGCTTTCCCAAAGAAGCAAGCACTTTAGTAAAATAATTTTTAAATATTATTTTTTCTAGAGAATGTCCATTCTACCTTCAAAGCAAAAGTGGGGGGGTGAAATTTCAGAGTTCGCACCTCACAAAAATAAAGACATAGTTTACTAATATTCCTTTTTAAGGTTGCTTTCAGTGTTATAGGTCACTGGATTCAAGATAGGTTTGATTTTACCAATACTGGGACCATGTGGTGCTGTAAACAAGGAAATTAAACTTCCTAAAGTACCTGATGTTTCTCTCAGAAACATGTTTATTTGTTAGGAGAATTTTATGATTACTTTATTTAGCTAATAAATATCACTAAAGTCATGATGTGGCCATATTTGATTCAGGGGCTTGTAAAAGTAAAAATTGTCTGAATATTTAATATACATGAGGCCAAACAGAAGTTGTTTTTAATAAAATCTACACCTTGGTCCTGAAATGATCAAAATGAACTATCTTCAGTGAATGTATTGGCTCCAGGGTCTTACTATTTGATTGTTTACAATTTAACTGCCTTTTTTGTTTCTTTTCACACTGGTTTGTATATAGAAGCACATAGTTAGGTGTCCTCGGGTACTCAGTCTCTTCACATGTGAGTAAAACCTCATGTCCAGAAACAGCTTGGCTCGGGGGAAAGAACTAGATCCTGATCACCTTCATCTTCCTCTATTGTCCTAACCCAGTACTTAATGGACTCAATTTCTCAATATGTTAGTGTAAAGGAGTTAGATTTGGGGGTATCTTTCAGCTCTGGACTTCTGTGAAAAATATACAGTACAGAAGCTAACATACTACCCTCTTTATGTTCTCAAGAAATATTTAATTAATCTTCTTCATGAGAAGCAAAAAATAATTCAGTTAAAAACTAAAACTTTAATGGGTAAATTTTATAAAAGCACACTGTAGTAGAAAAAGAACAGGGGGAAACAAACAAATCTTACTATTCTGGCAGTCAAAACTAGACTGATGTATCGTATGAGAGGGATATGTTTCTGAAGACCTCCCTCAACTGGAGACCAATATGAAAAAAGAATGGTGAAGTTTCTGTTTAGCAGCTGAAGTGGTGCCGCCATGTGGCAATAGCAAAACAGCAGTTTGAAATTTGAAACTGATCATTTGATGAAATTTTTAATTTGGAGAAATTAACATTACTGCAAAGTTTATTAATATTTTTATACTGCAGACTTTCAAAATTTTACAACATTTGACCCACTGATCTGTTGATGTTGTTGTGGGGTTTCATATAAGAACTACCCTTCCAGACAGAACATTCCTCAAGATCTTGAAGATAAGGAAAGAATTATTTAAAATCAGCTATAATTGAGATGGTGAAATTTCACGATTTCTGTAGTTTGTCCACAACAACTAACACCTTCATTTAACTGTTAGTTGTCTGACTTGTGTATTTAAAAGGATTAATCTCAATGGAATTTACATCTAAATTTGATTATATCTTTTTACCTCATAAAAACCTGTGAAACCATGAATTTGTTTTTATCTTTTTTCATTTTTTATTTTTACTTTTTATTACACATATTTTTTTAGAGATTAGGTCTCACTCTGTCGCCCAGGCTGGAGTGCAATGGTGTGATAAGAGCTCATTGCAGCCTCATACTTGAAGTTGTTTTTAATAGAAATATTTCCTAACCTATTAATATTATACTATGTGTTTTTAGTCCCAGAAAAGTCTCATGATTATGTTTATACCAAGCTAGAACAAGCCTCACAGCATAAAATGGATATCTGTAAAGAGCAAATGTAAGGAAAAGAATGACCAAATAATTCAAGTGTCATTTCCAATTTTAGCATTACATGTTATATCCAAAGAGAGAATTAGTATCTCAAGAAAGTTATATCTTTATTTGAGGGGTTCTCATGCTAGGTTAAAACTTTTTAGCGTTCACTCTAGGCTCTTTGGTTTATGACTTCTATAAGAAAGCTCTATAAAAAGTCAAAGTATAGATCATGGAAATGTTTACAATTTATTCATGAAACCTGCAAACATAATATAGACCAAAGTCTACAAACAATAGAAATTAACTCTTGTTCCAGAAATGTTTCCGTTAAACTAGTTAATTTGTCTAGTCACTCAAGAAATGGAAATAGTGAATATACTCCTATAATTGTTACCATGAACTTAAATTGCTCAAATCCATGTTTCCAGATAAATATGGCAGGAAGAATTAATGAAAATAATAATAATAGCTAAGATTCTTCAAGGGCTTAACTTGTACCAAGTATTTGTCTAAGCATTTTATGCTGTCTTATGTAATCATGAAAATCACCACCTTCAGGTCAATGCTATTATTTCCTCCACTTGACAAATCAAGAAACTGAAGCTGAAAAAGATTAAATATCTTGGCCAGAGTCATTTAATTAGTAGATGGCAGAGTTGGAATTCAAAGCCACGCAGGTCATTTCATCACCTTTATACTTAACCTTTATGTCATACTACTTCCTGAAAGGTAAGCCAAATATAAACTATCCAATTGCATAATGAATACTTGCTACATAAATTATGAAGTCAGTGCCAGGCACTGTGCTAGGGATATAGCACTGAAGCAAACATGCCTGGTCTATACTCTCCTTGGAGAGGACAGTGCCTAGCACATGGTAAGTGCTACGTGTTTGTTAATAAATGAATAGAGAATAATCTAGTATGACCCTGAACAAAGAAATAATTATAATTTTGTAAGATAATGATAAAAAGAAAACCTGACAACATTATTATTCCTGGACTGAGAACTAAGTAATTGAAAGAGTTGACTATAGCTTATTTTCATACTGCAGAATAAGCAGTTTACATGCTTTAGGAATCTACCTCTTCAATGCATCCAAAAATATATATTTAACCCAGGCTTATTTGACAGCGCAAATTTACATAATTTGAATGGTGCCTCACCTCTCAAACCATGAAAAATATCTGCTTCAAAGGCGCAATAGATAAATATTAATGTAAAGTCACACAGACATAAAATATCCTGCTTTATTTCATCCACATGTATCTTCTAGTCCATATATGTTTTTCTGTCTTCCAATCATTTATTCCCCATTCTTTCATTTAATAATAAAATATTGTTTATCACTTAAAAACTTCGCTTACTACAGATAGATTCTGCTTAATACATAAATGTTTATCAATATAGCTGTTTAAATGAGGTAATTACAGTATTTTCTTGAATCTGAATAACAAGTGATTATTATAAATGGGCTGATGAAGAGACATTGGAAGAAATATGGTGAAATTTTTCTTTTAGATAATGAAATATCGCTAGTATTGAGGTCATATCGCTGTATGTAAATTTTAAAAGCTAATTTTGAACTACAGTGTTTTCTTATTTTTAATGATATGTAACATAATATAAAATATATATAGTTTTGCCAAGTGAGGATTCTGGTCAAAGATACAGTCATGTTGACATGAGAAACACACCTTCTGTTAGAGACTAGATCACAATATGTGTATATATAACAAATATACAACAATAATTATAATTGTTTTATTTTAAAACCTCACTGAATTCCTACTTTCAAACTATGGAAAAAGATGTATTCTGATTTTTTTCTTCAGGTACTAGATCTGTACATAAATAATATATTTTCTTAATCGTGAACTGAAAAATAGCTCTTTTTTTCTGGGGGGGTGGGGTTCATGCCTTTTCCTTGCTTATATACAGAGATGTTTGCTAGAAAATTACCAGTTTCTTCCACCACATGACACTATAAGAATCCTCCATACCTCTTTAATTTCAGGGTTACACACCAAGGCTACACCAACATACCATTTTTTCTCTCTCTGTACATGTTTTTCTGAGAGTATTGTCCCATTCACATCCCTATACAGGCTCAGAAGTTACTCTCCAAGTGCCTTGAAAGTTAGGTGAAAAATATATTTGGGGATCCAAGAATTATTCTTGAAGTTCAAACAATTAGACTTTGGCTAAAATGGCTTTTTCTTGATCATTAAAAAATTTATTTGTATGCTATAATTACAAATATTAAAATCTAAATATGTTAGTATGCTTTGTATTATAAAGTTAAATATGTTGGGTCTTTTTTTTTTACATTTGTATTAACAACATTAAGCACTAGGCACTATAGAAAAGATAAAAGAGAAACAGAGTTTACAATCAAATAATAATCATGGAGTCTGTATCTACAAAGAGAAATAACTTTCCCACAAAATAACTACACAAAAAATTCAATTATTAACTCTTGAAAATAACCAGCTGCTTGATTGAATGAAACTTTTGGCTCTAGAACAGTCTCTATTAAAAAAAAAAACAATGAACCTAAAGATAACTGTTTTGAGTTATCGGCATATTAAAATTTGGTATCATTTTATGAAATAGATTTAATTCTTATAATACAGTTGATTTAATATCTAACTTGCCTGTGATCTTTACTTTTGTCACTTTTCTCTTTAGTGCCACCTTGTGGGTCAGCCAGTAACAATACATATATAGGGTCTGGAGGGTTTTTTGGTTTTTAACTCAGCTTGTATTAAAGCTAGACTTACAAAGAAATGTGATAATTCACATATGAGACAATTTTGTTTGTTTTCTCAGAGAAGCAACCACTTCACAAGAAGATTCTGAAGTTGGCCATTTTTGATCCCAGAACAGTTTCTCATAGATTAGAAATATTGGAGTCTACACAAAAATCGATATTCATTTACAAGATCATCACTAAACTTATCTTGCATAACGTAAGTGGCAAGCTCTGACTTGTGATTTTTTCATAAGAAAAATGTTTTTTAACTTAGTATCATTTCTACAACAATGTCCCATGATAATTGATTCTAGGTGATTTGAAACACTGCTTAGTCCTGTTTTAGAAAAAGCTCCCATATCTGATTTAGTCTCATATGCAGCTTACTTCTAACATCAGATTGAATTTGCATTGAGTTACCTTACTCGGTTTATTTTTTAATTATGTTGCAGTTACAAGGGAATAAGGAAAAGTCAGTATAGTGCATTGAAATGTCTTTTTTAATTGAGACACACAAGAAATGTGTTATAGGTTCCCAAACATTCTTCATGTATTAGAGATGTTATAATAATCTTTTGAATAGCCAAGTGAAAAGGAATGGTTTCACCTGAACATGTTAGAATTTATTGCTACATTTTTTGTGTGTTGTGGTGGAGAAATAAATTTTTAAATCGCATTTATGGAGTCATTTCAGAACAAGTAGAAAACATGTAATCTGGTCACTTTGAATGTGTAAGTGTTTGTATCTGAACTCCTCCTGCCCTATTAAGAGTGGAAGGTTGTACTATATGTTACTCAAAAAGTAATTTTCCCCGGATATGCAATAAGACCTCAGATTTGACCTATAAGCTGAATGTCATAAGCTATCCATTAGCTATGCTGGAAGCACACCACCAACAACAAAAAAGTTTTAAGTATTTTTATAGGCTTGCTAAAATCTGATTATAGAACCAAGGCAGTCAAATACCATGAGTAAGACTGCAGAAACCCTAGAATTTAACTCCCTAGTTATTCTTAATGAGTGAATCCTGTGCTTTGTGTCTAAAAGCAATGTATTGTGCTTTCCAATTCAGGAAATGCATTTTAATTGCTATACTCATTGATACATCAATCTGTCCATGACATTCTGACATATATCCAGTTTCCTATGGATTCGGTATAGGAGCAAATTAAAAGATGCACTAGAATGGTAACATTTAATCTATAATCCTCCATTTAACCTTTATGTGGCTGTCACAGAACAAGTCCTGTTTTTAGAGTTGAACCAAAAAACAAACAAAACAAAACAAAACAAAACAAAACATGCACACACACTAGAGAAACGGCTTTTTTTTTTTTAACCTGGGGACCATGAAAAAGTTTTGACCATTCCCCGACCCCCATGCTTCAACTTTAGCTTTGATAGTTAAAGTATGTCTTCCTTCAGTTTAAGTTGAACAAACTTCTGCATAAGACCCTCCAGAAAACCTCTGAACACATACAGTTTTGGGGGCAATGGGGACTGAACTATGTACAAATAGGTGATACTTCAGCACACAATTCCTGGGATAAATTTTATCCTCTTCTCATTTTTATTTTTATGAACTATATGGGGTTTTTTAAACAAGTTACAAGAAGCAAAACACATTTTACCTTTACTCTGTTACATATTTCAAATTAAGCAGATCCTAATTAATTGGGTTACATTATGTAACAATAGCCTTTTTAATATCAAATGGTTTTTATGATCTGTCTTCAATTTTTCTTAAAATGAGACTGCACTAAAGATTTTCTTGACATTTCTGAGAATTTCATTTTCAGTTTCAAAAAATTATTTATTCCTTTAATCTTTCAATGTGGAAAAGTAATGAATATTGATTCATTTTTAGAAGCGCTAACATCCAACTAGGTAAACTTCATGAGTGATGGCTATTAATGTTCTCTTTCATCTTATAGACAGAAAATCAAAGCTATTTAAAGTAAAGGATTTGTTTCAAATCAATGTATGTCCACAAATTAACATTAATGTTTACAATACTTTCTGTGATAATTGTGTCTTACTTGGGTGTATATATGTCTTTATATCTATCTGTAAAGATATAGTTGCAAGTAGATGAGAGACGAATGTTCATGTTTCTATATGGTCTGAATAAAAGTGTTATCACTATGCTAACTTGCAGTGTTATAAAATGCACCAATGGCTCTTTGTGCCACTCCTTCATTTTCAGTGGTTACCAAGATAGTCAAATTAAACTGCTGATGTGATAATCATCCAAACATTTAATTTTAACACTATGATTATAGAATTTTTTTATTTCTATGAGATTTACCTATAGTAGCTTTCTGTTTAATGTTCAATGTTCTATAGGAGTTTCCTTTTAAATGTTCAGAGCAGGAGCTATACCCTCTAGGATATGCAAATAATCAAGTCTTAGCGACCTTATAAAATATAATCCACATTATGAATCAAACAGAATGAGCCTTCAGATCTGATTGCCTAAGGCTCAAAATGTTAATGCTCCTGAAATGCCTTGTACATATTAGCTAGTTGAAATTGCATTAAAACAAGAGAACGAATTGTAGTCTTGACCTCAGTCTCATTTCACCAGCCTTTGCCTGCTACTGCCAACCTGAGAGGGGAGCTTCTGCTCTGCAGATGGATGGACAGCTGCTGATCTTCACCTCCTGTCTGTTCCCACAATTCTAAAAGAATTAGGCCTGAGGAACTTAATCTTCTGGTGTTCCATTGTGAACTGACTTTATTAAATTTTTTCCAAAGTTCAGTGTTCTTCAGTTCTTTCTCAGAGTACAAATTGAAGAGACACAGAGCCAGTTCCAAATGAACTGAAATTGTTTTGTAAAAAATTAATTCAAACAATAATGCCATGGAAAAGCACTTTGAATTTTTCAATTCCCAGGCTATTGATTCTAAAAAAGAAACAATTCTAAATTATCCACATGTTCTCATTTATTAGTCTAGAGCTCTTGCCCAAAGAATTATTTGCCAAGGTAATATATAGAACATCAGGATGATTTACTTGCTTTTCTAATACCATTTTGCCCACAAACTCTATGGAACTGAAAGCATGTCAGCAGCAAAAGAAGGTCCACTAGCAGCTATAAAAGAGAGCTTACTAATGAACAATAAATATCTAAAAGTAAAGGGAAAGGAGCCAAATTCCATTTTCAAAAGCCAAAATTCTGCAGTAGGTAAATATCACAGATAGCATTGCTTATTATTTATAATCACTACTAAGAGTAATCTATCATTTCTTTAAATCCTCAAAATAGGTCTCTGCCAGCCACATTAACTGCCTGCAGAAAAGTTTGTTATGACTGCCTGGTTTTGTAAAGTCCAGACAACTTTACACTAAGCTGAATAATGTTCATTTACTCAAAAGCTAGTCTAAAATTGTAGAGTTAATGAACACTAAACCAAAGTTAGTGCTTTAACTGAAAGATAATTTACTGTACCCTTTGGAGTCCAGTCCGGTACCATCAAGATCTGGGAAAATACAACTGGTAAGCACTTTAACTTTTTCTCAGAAAATCATTATCTACTTCCTTCATACTTACTTAACATCTCAAGAAAAGGAAAGAAAGGGGGAAAATATCTAAAATTTTAATCTAAATCTTTCTTAAACTGTGCATTTCAAATACATAAAATACTGTGTGAAAGGGTGTTAAAAGTAGTATCTAGAAATGGCTTCCAACTCTATAACTTGGTGTAAGCCTTGTGGAAAGTAATTTACCAACGACTGTCAAAATTCACAAATCTAAAGACTGTAGCAAGACTCTTGAGATACCTTGTAACTATTGGCATGATTCCTTTCTACTACAATGAAAGTTTCTTCAGGGCAGGAAACACATATATTCATTTCTGTATCCACAGAGTAAGCAAAGATTCTGGGACATACTGTCCTTCATACGCGTATTTCGAATGAACGAAGGCTCCATTTGGTAGTATTTATCATCAGCTTCTTGGCCCTTACTACTCCCTTCTTTCATTTAAAGCTTATGTCTTATGTCCTCTTCCCTGCCCAGCACTCTTTTTGGCTGTATGCCTGATAAGGGTGCTCTTCAGCTTGGCCTCCTTTGACTCTATTCCTTCCCTGTTCTACTTTTAGAGTCTCAATAAACTCTTGTTTCTTATAGTGGAAAAATGCATTTATAAATCAAGACTGGGCATTAAATTTGCTCACTGCTGCTCAGGCATTGTTGCTCCCGTGTCCAGTTGCTCCCAGTGAGCCACTCTATTGGAGTTGGTCCCACAGTCAAGACCCTACTTTTCCCTAGCTCTAGCCTAGAAACTTGTCACCAGAGCATTAATCTACATTTTAGAGAGGATTACCTACCAAAAAAAAGTATCATTTTTCCTGAATAAGTAATATGTTCTAGAATCAGTGTGTGATCCTCTCAGCTTCCTTTTTGGAAACCAAATGATGGTTCTCCTGGAGAAAGAATTTGAGTAGATGTTGAAACAATTTAGGCTATACAATAGAGTCCTACTTGATAGAAGAGTTAGATTTTGAAATCAGCATATAAGGTAAGAAGCACCTAATGTCAAATTTGCACTTGAAAAAAATTCCTAAACTGTGCACACATTGCAGTAAACCATGATTTTGTGGATCCCTTCCTATACAGCAACGTGCATATATAGATGTGCATAGAAAGTATGTGCCATCTTACAATATTTTCAGTATTTTAATTAAGTTGAATTTAAATAAATAAAATACTCACATGCTATAACTCTGCTGTTTTAAGAACACTGTTACCAATTCACTACATTTACATGATGCCTAAATAGCCAGCCAATGCAGAAAGGTCAGTTAGAAAATGAGGCCAGTGCTTGCCTCTCTTTCTTTCCATTGAAAGGGTGTTACTGAGTGTCAGGGTCCACACAAAGCGGGAGCTAGAGTGGGCATGAAGGCAGTTTGATGGGAGTCAGGGTCTATAGAGGGAGGGCTGCTGAGCAGGGCAGAGGCCTGGTAGAATCAGATGCTTGGCTCCACACAGGGAGTCCACTTTCCTAATGCTGGAGAAGGTACAAACATGGAAAGAGGAAAAGTTGAGATGAATGATGTGTTATTAGATTGGAATTGGAAGAGTGGATATATAAATATATATGACATGTAAATAAACATGGATTTAAGTGTGTGTCTGTATGTATCCATTGAAGGGACCTGGGAGCAACAATGCCTGAGCAGCAATGAGCAAGTTTAATGCCCAGTCTTGATTTCTAAATGCTTTCCACTATAAGAAACAAGAGTTTATTGAGACTCTGAAAGCAGAACAGGGGAAGAATAAGGAGCTTTGAACATGTTGGGCCAGAAGGTAAGAAAGTTCTCAGAAAAACAATGAGAACATGACCAAAGGATCCAGGAGCCACCTTGAAGGAGCTCCTACTGACCAAATCTGGAACAACTTAAGCATATAAATAAGTAATGAGAGTAGTGGATTATAATCCACTGCATAAAGAGGAACCCATGAATCCACAATTATATAGTAAGTAAATAGATAAATGGGAAGAAAATAAATGGGTAAGAGATTATTTCTTAAATTAGAATGCCAAGTAATAAATACAAAAGGAATTCAAGCAAGACATCAATAAATACTAAAATTAGTGGATGAAAGTGAGATGAGAAACAGAATTTTACAGAGTTTCAAAGTATCTTTCTACAAAATGTTTAATTACAAAGGGAGAAAAAGTTAACATTATAGTGGAGAAACCTAACAGACACTATCTGATGAAGTGATCAAAGTTAACACTCCCAGTAATTGGAAAAATCAGTATCATATGTCACCTAATCAAATGCAATGAGAAAAACACAACATCACTTCTCTAAAATTTATAACCTGGTTATAATCAAGAGGAAACATTGGACAACAGAAATTTGGAGAACTTCTATTGAATAACTGACCTTGGAAAATGTCAAGGCCATGAAAGTCAAGTAGAGATTGCAGAACTCATTCAGACTAAAAGGAGATAGAGAGACATGGCAGACAATGGAGTGTAACGTCTTCTCCTGAACTGGACCTTTTTACTATAAAGACATGAGAACAACTGGCAAAACTTGAATCGGGTCTCTGGGAGAAGTATATTCAGGAGTCCACCATACTGTTCATGCAAATTTATTAAATTCATTCATGTAAATTTTCTGTAAGTTTGAAAATGAAAAAATAAAACCCACTTTATTCTTATTAATTCTTTTTTTAGGCTCTCACTGTGCAGCTCTAAAGTTATATAAGCCAAGAAAGGGACATTAATGGGAAATTAATGACAGCATCAATAAAATGGAAAAGAAGATGAACTAATTACATAACATCAACCAATCAGTTTTTTCAAAACAGGTTTTACTGTTTGGGGTTTGTCTACTCTGTTGGCATCCTGTAGGCACCAGCTTTGCCTATTCACATTTTCCTTTCACGTAGCTTGTGTACCCATTTTAAACACAGCAAAAGATACTTTGAGAATACCTTCTGCACTACTTTTATCTTTTATTTTCTTTCCTTTTCTTCTTACCTTCCTTCCTACTCTCCTTTATTTTTGGAAGCTGCATTCACCCTACTGGAAGAACCTATTCTGAACATAAAGTAATTTGCCTCATCCTGCTTATCCCCATGACAAATAGTTTAAGTAGCATCTGGTGAGACAAGAGAAAAGAGTAACTATACATTTACCCTTCTGCACCCTCATCTTCTACCCAGCTGTCTCTCCTCCCTTTTCCTCTTTATCAATATTTTCCCCTTCTTTGGACCAACTATTTAAACTGTTCTTAAAATTTATTAAATAGAAGTGGACCTCCAGCAATTTTTCTTGCTCCTATAATCTAAAGTATTCAAACTCCTCACTTGAAACATGAAAGAAAATCAGGATGTAAACGTTCCCCTTTTTAAACTTTTTTATTTTCTAAACCATCTTCCTCTGCATAAAGTCAGTCTGCCACTCTAAACAGCACTTGTCAGGAATGTGTGAAGTTATTAAAAGAGAAGGAACTTTAGAAGATCTAAATTCAAATTACCTTGACTACCATTCTTTAGTAATAAAAGGGGAGATAGAAAGAAGACAGAAACCACCAGATTTTCTAAAATCTCCAGCAATATTCATCCATCTAAAGCATCTGAGAAACAATGACCCAAGTTATATTGGGAGAGATATTTTAGCTCTCTTGCCTGAATCTAACTCACAGAAACTGGGGAAATATCAAAAATCACTTATTCTAAATGTTTCGGTCAAGAAGTGTTTTGGATTTCAGATTTTGGAATATTTGCATATACATAGTGAGATATCTTAGGGGTGGGACCCAAGTCTAAACACAAAATTCATTTATGTTTTATATGCCCTTTAAACACCATAGCCTGAAGTTAATTTAATATAATATTTTTAATAGTTTTGTGCATGAAACAAAGTTTTGACTGTTTGACTGTAACCCATTACCTAAAGTCAGGTGTGGAATTTTCCACTTGTTACCTGGAGTGCATCATGTTGGCATTGAAATAGTTTTGGATTTTGGAGCATCGGATTTCAGATTTTTGGATTAAGGATGTTCAACCTGTATTAGATAGCCTGGTGCTTTTCTCCTCATAATCACTCCAATAATAATGAAAGGATAATCATAAAGATGACAACAATTACAACAAAGATGATAAAAAAAATTAAGCCACTTGGCAACACTATTTGTGGCCTCATGAAAATGACTCCCAATGTCATAATTCCCTCTGAGATCCCCACAATAAAAAACTATTGGAACTAGAACTGCATACCGCAGTTATTGGTCATTTCACATGGTGCCATGTTCAGGCATAGCTGGTATGAGTGCTATTTGCTTTCATCCAGGGGAGCCATTCTCAGTAAGCTTCATCTCTGTGCTGATGAGAGCCTGGGTCTGTTCTTCTAGCCCAGGATCTTCACATCTCTCAAAGGACTGCAGCTCTCCTTAGATATTCTGTGTACCACAGGAAGGGGCTGTACCAATTTACAGCAATCTCTTTTCAACATGGTAACTAATGCAAGTATTAGACCACAAGGCTTCTCTTTGGAAACTTGTCCAAAGGCTGTCATCTCTGCTATTCATTCATTCATTCATTTAGTCAACAAATATTTATTAAGCAACAAACGTGTGCAAGGCACTGTTCTTGGCATAGTGAACAAAACAGATTAAAATTCTGATCTTGTGGAACTTGCATTCTAATAAGGGAGACAATTTTTTTTTAAAATGAAGTAAAATAGATAGGGCGATAGGGAGTGCTGGGCCCAGGAAGAAAGGGTTACAATACTAAATATGATAGTTAGGGAAGCCCTCAAATTTGAACAAGGATCTGCAGGAAGTGAAGTATGTTGATATCTGGGGAAGAGGGAACAACAAAAGCAAAGGAATTGATACAGGAATGTTGCTGGTGTCTGAGATATGGCAAGCAGGTCTGGGTGGCCAGAGAGGAGTAAAGTAGGAAAAAAGGAAAAGTAGGTGGGGTTGGAAAAATAATGGGGAGCCAAGACTGGGTAAGGTTTTGTAGGCTATTGTAAGTACTTAGACTTCTACTAAGTGATGGAAAGCAACTGATAAAAGTTGACTTTCAATTGGAAAGAGCCATGAAAGTTGATGGATGGTCAACTTTTGACCTGAGGAATGACATGACCTATTGTAGGTTTTAGAAAAGTCCTTCCGGTAGATTTAATGAACATTCACTGAAAGATAAAAAAGAGGGTAATTGAAATAATCCATGCAAGAGATGATTGTAGCTTGGATAAGGATGGTAGTAGAGGGGTGGTGAGAAGTGGTAAGAGTTTTGCTGAAGGATTATACATGGGTTGTAGGTAAGAAACCTCAAGGTTGATACCAGGATGTTTGATCTGAGCAGCTAGATGGATGAAGTTGACATTTATCGCAGGACAGTTCCCTGAATGGCCCTGGACCCACCCAGTTCTCCCCCTTTCTTGTTTACAGTTACCAAGAATAACTGTAAAATGTGCTGGGAATGCAATGTCCTGAGATAAGGAAGAACTGCCTGAAACAGCCTGGATCTTATTCCTGTACTTCCTAGGGAATGTAACATCTCAAGTTAAAGAGGAACTGCCCGGAACAGCCCGGGGATTGTTCCTCTCTCCTGAGAAGGAAGATTACCTCCAAAGCTCATCCACTGAGTCACACTGCCCCTGTGGTGGAGGGCGGGCTGCCTTTCCAGGTTCCTCAGCTGTGGTGTAACTGAAGCAGGCACAATCAAGACTCCATCTGCTCGAGGCAGCTTTCTCGAACCTTGGGGAACCTACTCACAATGGATCACAGGCTTCTTTTGTTTTGTTTCTTGCTGCCTATCTGTAAGTAATTAACTTGCTTCATGTAACGTGTTGCATATGAGTGTGTTCTGTCTCATAGACTCAGGGAATTGGTAACACTGCAGCTGAGGACGCAGTGGACAGAAGTGTTCAGACTCCTGTTCCTTGTGGTTGACACAGTGATGATGATCTCTTCTGTCCTCCACAGAGTGGAAGTCCTCTCTTGGGATTGGTTATTGGTGAAACCACTTCGCAATTTATTAAGATGGCAAAAGCTTACGGAGGGACAGATTTGAGGGGAAGATCAAGATTTTTCTGTCAGTATTGCAAATAGTCAAGAATATGTGGTCCAAGAAGTGATCATTATCTTTGGCATTGTGCAAGTCATTAGTGACCTTCACATGAACAGTCTCAGTGGAGTGTTGGAGGAAAAAGCCTAACTGAAGAAGGTTCAAGAGTGAATGGAAAAAGAGCAGTAGTATGTGGAGAGTACAGACAAGTATTTCCAGGAGCCTTTCTGTAAAGAGTGGTAGAGAATGGGACATCATTTTTGGATGGGGGAAGAGTTATTTATAGCATGTTCATATGCTAATGGAAGTGATCTACTCATGGGGAAAATCTTGATGATGCAAGAAAGAAAGGGATTTGTTGGAATCTTGTCCTATAACGGGTGAGAGGGGATGGGTTCTAGAAGAAAAGGCATGGGTCTTTGTTTGAGATCAGGCAATTCATCTGTAGGAACCAGTAGGAAGATGGTTAAGTGGGTACCTGTGGTAGTGGATGTTTGTGAACATTCTTTTCTTTTCCATTGTTTCTATTTTCTCAATAAAGTGGGAAGCAAAAATCAGCTGAGTGAAGATGAGGAAGAAGGTGTTAAAGGTTTGAAGAAAAAAGGAAAAGGATATACTAATCTAAGAGGACAAGTAAGTAGAACATAGATAATGAAAATGCTGGCCCTTAGGACTGTTGGGCCTAAATGCTCATATTATATTGGTAGTCACAAATTTGAACTTTCTCTAGAGCCAATTTTTGCATGTGTGTGCAGGCCTGGAGTAGTTGGAGAGTTGGATTTAATAGAATTGAGGGTCAAGCAACTACAACCAGGGAAGAGTGGGACAAGGGAGATAAAGGATATTGGCAGGGGAGCAATTATAAACATGGACCATGATCAAAACTGGACAGGAAGGAAAATAGAGATAAGAGGGGTGGAAGGTTAAAAATAGTGAAAATGAGATAGAATGAATAGGTTGTAGGTCCCTGTAAAGTTGAAGAAGTATTATTATGCAGTACTCGTTATTGAAATGAGGTCACTATGCTTAAGGCACAGTGAATCCTAGAAAATAGTGGTTTTGTTTCTCATTAGGCAATACATTCCTCCTTGCTCCAGAATGCAACATACATGTATCCTTTTCTGTACTATTTTTTATTAAGAATTCATACTTAATTCCACTGACTGCCACTCAATTTTAATGTACAGTAGGGAATTCCTGTACTATGTATTATGAATCCATTCCTTTGAATTTCATTTATAATACTTCATGACTGACACCTGGCTTTCCACCAAGACTCAATTTTCATAGCAAGCCTCATCATCATAAGCCCCCAAATTAACAGGATGAGGAGGAAGAATTGGCAGGCTAAAGAAGATGATTATATCAATTAATGCAGAAAAAGCATTTGATAAAATCCAATATTCATTTGTAATTAAAAACTCTCAGCAAGTTAGGGATAGGAATTACTTCAACTTAATGAAGAGTGTCTTTAAAAACCTTATTTTCATCAGTTATAACAAATGTACCACTCTGGTGGTGAATGTTGCTAAGGAGGGAAGCTATACATGTGTGGGGAAAGGAGATGTGTGAGCAATTTCTGTACCTTCTACTCAATCTTCTGTGAGACTAAAATTGCTGTAAAAAATAAAGTTCATTTTTTTAAAAACCTACAGCTGTCATTCTTAATGCTGAAAGACAGAATGCTTTTCTCTAAGATAGGGAACAAGGCAAAGATTCAGTTCTCACCACTCCTATTCAACACAGCACTACAAGTTCTAGCCACTGAAATGGGGGTTGGGGGGAAGCAGAAGAAGAAAAGAAATAAAATGTATACAGTTTCAAAAGGAAGAATTAAAATAGTCCCTGTGTGCAGATGACATGATTGTCTATTTAGTAAACCCATGGATTATACAAAAATAAAATTCCGAGAACTTAAAAAGTGATTTCAGCAAGATCACAGGATATAAGATCGAGATGAAAACCAATGTCATTTCTATATACAGTAAGTCCTCTCTCTTAATATCATCAATAGGTTCTTGGAAACTGACTTTAAGCAAAACAACATAAAACTAAACCCAATTTTTCATCATCAAAGTTATAACAAAATGATGTTGAACAAAACTACATTATTTCAGGACCTGCCATACATCATGTCACTTAAAATTACAGTTTCTAAGAACCTACCAATGGCATTATGTGAGAATTACTGTAGTAACAATAAACGTATGAAAACCAAAATTAAAACACATTTACAATCAACCCAAGGAAAATGAAATATTGAGGTATAAACTTAATGTTTTATGAGGCAACTTAATGAGGCAAAAAAATGTATACTATCTGATGCTGAAAATTGCAAATGCTGATGAAAGAAATCAGTGATGACAAATAAACAGAGAGACATACTATAGTCACAAATTGGAAGACTCAACATAGTAAAAATGTCAATTTGCCTCAAAGTAATCTGTAGGTATAAGACAATTATCAAAATTCAGGGAAGTTTTTTGTAGGCATTGGCTAGCCTATTCTAAAATTTATATGAAAAGCACAAACCTTAGAATATCTAAGATAATCTGAAAAGAAGAATAAAGTGAGAGGAATCACTCTACCTGATATTAAGCTTTATAATACAGTAACAGTACTCAAGACTGTGTGGTATTTGCCAAGGCATGGACTCAGATCAATGGAACAGAAGAGAAAACACAGGAATAGACCCATATAAACATTTCCAACTGATTGTTTTCCAATCGATTTGTGACAAAAGTGCAGAAGTAATTCAGTGAAGGAAGGATAGCCTTGCAACAAGTTGTGCTGAAGCAGTGAGCACCCATAGGCAAAAAGAAAAAGAGAACATCAACCTTAACCTCACATCTTATACAAAAATTAATCCAAAATTGATAATAGACTTAAATGTAAAATATAAAACATTTCACAAAAATAGAAGAAAGTCTTCAGGATCTAGGACTAGGCAAATAATTCTTAAATGATATCAAAAGCATAATTCATAAAGGGAAAAGTTGATAAATTAGACCTCATTAAAATTAAAAACTTATGGAAAATGTGCTGTTAAGAGGATAAAAAATATAAGCTACAGACTGAAAGAAAATATTTGCAAGCCACATAACTGACAAAGGACTAGTATCTAGAATATATAAAGAATTTTCAATACTCAGTTGTAAAAACAAAATAATTCAACCAGAAAATTGATATGAGCAAACATGTCACTGAAGAGGATGTACAGATGGCAAAAATGCATGTAAAAAGATTTCAACTTCATAAACCGTTAGGGAAATGTGAATTAAGCAACCAATCAGAATGGTTAAAATGTTTAAAAAATAGTAACACCACCAAATATTGGCAAGGATATAAAGGAATCGAATCACTCATGCATTGCTAGTAAAAAATGTAAAGAGGTACAGCCACACTGGGAAACCTTTTCATGGTTTTCTAAAAACTAAGCATGGAGTTACCATACATCCCAGCAGTTCTACTCATCAGCATTTATCCCAGAGAAATAAAAATTTATGTTTACACTAAAACCTATATATGAATGTTCATAATAGCATTTTTCATAGTAGCCAAAAATTGGAACCGTCTCAGGTGTCCTACCATGGGTGAATGGTTAAACAAACTATGGTGCATCTATATCTACCATGAAGTAGAACTCAGCAATAAAAAGGAATGAACTATTCATACACCTTATAACTTGGATGCATCTCCAGGTAATTGTGCTGAGTGAAAAAAAAAAAAAAAAGCCCCAATTCCAAAAGGTTATATACTCTATGATTCTACTTCTGCAATGTTTATTAAATGATAAAATTACAGAAGTGGGAAAATGATTAGTGGTTTCCAGGGGGTATATACAGTAAGGGTGAGAGGGCCGGAAGAGTGCAGTTTTATAAGGGCAACATAAGGGACCCTTATGGTGATGGGACTGTTCTGTATCTTGACTCTGTTGGTAGTCACATGAATCTACACATGATAAAATTGCATAGAATTAAACATATATACACACTCAAATGAATGCATGTAAAACCGGTAAAATCTGAATAAGGTAAATGGATCATAATCAATGTCAATTTTCCATTTGTGATATTATACTATAGTTATGTAAGATGATGTTAGCATTGGGAGAAACTGGGTGATGGATATACAGAATCTTTCTGTATTATTTCTTGTAATTGCATATGTATCTCAATGGTCTCAAAATAAAAAGTTAAATAAATAAGAGAGACCAAAAAGTGGCTTTCCAGTGGAGAACTGAGATAATCTGAGCATCTTATGCTCTAAATAAAGTATGCAATAAAAATAAAATATATATATATATATATATATATATCTGTAAGTCATATTGAAAGTTACACACCATTTTGGGGAAAAGTCAAGTAAAAACAGCAGTATACACTATTAGCTTTAACATTAGGCTTTGAGACTATCTCTGGCCTTTTCTCTGGCCAAAGGGAAAGAAATCCTCAGATCTACTCTGAAGCCTTTCTTAGACTGAGAAGCCTCTGATAGCATTTCAAAGCAGCTTAGTGCCAAACATTCTTTGAGCATCCAGTAAGAGTCTGTTTGCAACTTAATAGAAAGATTTTTTAAGTTGCCTTTTGACTATACACAATGAGTTCTCTTTTTATCTGGTTCCTGATTACTCTCTGACCTTTATCATACAAAGAAAGATCTTTCAGCCTATTCCAATCTGTACTAAAATTCAGATAAGAGGAAGCATCCTCAAAGCTGGATTATCTGACTCTGAAGCCAGCGTGATCCTCCTACTGCCTTCAGCAGCTTTTCGTAGTGTTCAGCCAGAACTGACATTTCTACATTCTACACTGCCAGCCTTTAATGACCTCTCTCATCTCCAAACTTCTATAACAATTATTACCTATACTATGCAATAAAAAACACTCATTTTAAGTATAAGTTTAATGCCATGTTGACAAATGAATTCAGCCCTGTGTGACCATTGTCATAATCAAGTAACAGAACATTTCCATCACCCTAAAAAGTTCCCTTGGCCTCTTGCTCTTTTCCCCAGCCCCAGGCAACCATTATTTTGCTTTTTATCACTATAGTTTTGTCTGTTCTAGAATTTTACTTAAGTGAAAGCAAAAGTGAATATTCTTTTGTCATCTGGCTTCTTTAAATTCTTCAGCATAATTTTTTATATTTATGCAGTTCTTCTTATCAGTTTATTTTTATTGGTGAGTAGTAGTCTTTTGTTATATAAGTTATATAAGTGGTATTATATTTTGTTTATTCATTTACCTGTTCTTGGATGTTGAGTCACCGCAAGTTTTGGACTATTACAAATAAAGCTGATATGAATATTCATGTATGAGTCTTTGTATGCCATCATATGCTTTCATTTCTCTTGGGTAAATAACTAGAAGTGGAATGACTGGATCTAATGGTAAGTGTATATTTGTTTAATATACACTTTATAAATACTCGAGCATTTATAAAGTATTTTACATTCCCATCAACAACACATGAGAGTTAGCATTCTTGCTAACACTTGCTTATTCTTTTTATTGTAGCCATTCTGGTGTGTGTATAGTTATCTATCATATGGTTCTAAATTACATTTTCCTGATGACTAATAATGTTGCACATCTTTGTATGTGCTTACCAGCTTCCATATGTCTTTTTATTTTTTGAGAGTTCTCACTATATTTCCCAGGCTGATCTGAAACTCCAGGGCTCAACCAACCCTCCTGCTTCAGTCTCCAGAGTAACTGGGATTACAGGTACATACCACCATGCCCAGCTCATATATTTTCTTTTGTGAAGTTATGCTAAAATCTTCTGCTTATTTTTAATTGGGTTGTTTCTCTTCTTATGACTGAGTTTATATATTATGGATAAAATTCTTTGTCAGGTACACAGATTATTAAAAATTACCTCCCAATTCATGGCTTACTTTTTGTTTTGCTTACGAATGTCTTTGAAAATCAATGTTTTCATTTTAATAAGATCCAATTTATCATTTTTTTTAAGTTTTGCTATTAGCCATTTTGTCTTCTATGAAAATTTTGCCTACCCCAACGTCATGAAGATTTTCTCCTATGCTTTTGTCTAGATGTGTTATAGTTACATCATTTATATTTAGTGCTAGGATGCATTCTAAATTTCTTTTGATTCAAAAATAATAATAAAAACCAGAGCTCAACACCCTTTGTCTCCATTAATATGAAACTTATTTTAAGTGAACCTGTTAGAGGATCTATGTTTTATTTTAAAAAACAAAGAATTACCAACAATGTAATAAATAAGAACATTAAGATCTATCAATGAGGGTTTCAAATATGTAAACTGTTTAGATTTTTAGAAAACTGCCTAGATTTCACATCTACCAAGGCAAAAGCATTAACTGTAAGAATTTGCACCTTAATTGTGCGCTCTTCAAGAATTCCACCTCTGGTTCTGTCTTTGCTCTTGAAATTCTCACAGCTCAATAGGTTTTGCATAGAAGACATGAGAACAGGAGGGCTCAATAGCAATTCTCCCCTTTTCCTGTAGTCAAGAGTTAGAAGAACCATTACACAATCAGTAAATTCTAAACCTTCTGCATTTGTTCTCCTTCCTCTTCTCTGATGTTCTATTTTCAGTGATTTATCCTCTGAAATGGGTTAGTCTCAGAAAATGTAAGAGGGAATTTCACAATCAGGAAAAGCATTTGTAATATTGATTCTTTTTAAAATGTATGTGAAAACACATATGAATAAGCACTTCGCTTTTTTTTTTTTTTTTTTTTTTGAGACAGAGTCTCGCTTTGTTGCCCAGGCTGGAGTGCAGTGGCGCGATCTCGGCTCACTGCAACCTCCGCCTCCCGAGTTGAAGCAATTCTCCTGCCTCAGCCCCCTGAGTAGCTGGGATTACAGGCATGTGCCACCACGCCCAGCTAATTCTTGTATTTTTAGTAGAGACGGGGTTTCACCATGTTGGCCAGGATGATCTCGATCTCTTGACCTTGTGATCTGCCCGTCTTGGCCTCCCAAAGTGCTGGGATTATAGGCGTGAGCCACCGCACCCGGCCTAAGCACTTCACTATTAAATTTAAATATTCTATTCCATTAGCTGTATATGTGCGTACATATGTACACACATATACACACATGCATGCATACATATGTACACACATACACATACACACATACATGCATACATACACACTGAGACAGATGATTAATTAATAGATCAATGATAGATATGACAGATTGATAGATGATAAAAAGATAGATGATAGATAATAGATAGATACATACATTCATAGATACATAAATACATAGATACATAGATGAATGGATAGATTGATAGATAAACTAGTGGTCTACACCTAATGCAAATGAAATTCCAGAATACCATTCTGATGTCAGTAATTCTGAGAAAGAGGGTCTTGAAATTGCTCTGGCTCAATCTCCACACAAAATAACCCTAATCTACACATTATGGCCCAATATTGTGATAATTGTATTATATTTTAAATGTTTTTGCACTTGCAGATATTTCAGTACAATCCCAAAATATACTTTGAGTGTCTATAATGAAAAACACTATGCAATGTTCTACAGTGATTTTGAACTCCAGCTGCACATTAAAATAACCTAGGGAATTTTTATAAAATAACAATGGCCAGGCCTATCCCAATCAAAATTTCTGAGTCTGAGGCTCAGAGTACCCATCATATTCAGACAGATGGAGAGCCATTGTTCTAGAATAGAAGTTCTCAAAATATGGTTCATGGACCAGTGGAGGTCCCTGAGGCCCTTTCAGGGAATCTATGATGTCAAAGGTCAAAACTTTCCCCAAAATTCCCATATACAGTCAGCCCTCCATATCCATGAGTTCCACATCCATGGATTAAACCATGCAGAAGGTCAAAAATTTTTTTTAATTAATAGTTACATCTGTACTGAGCATGTACAGATTTTTTCTTATTTCCTAGACAATGCAGTATAACAACTATTTACATAATATTTACATTGTATTAGGTATTGTAAGTAATCTAGATGTGCTTTAATATACATGACAGGATATACACAGGATACATGCAAATACTATACCATTTTATATAAGGGACTTGAGAACCCATGGATTTTGGTCTCTGCGAGGTCCTGGAATAAATCCCCCATGGATACTGAAGAATAACTGTAATTGCTAAATTGAGCTTTAGCATGCAATATATACATTTTTGTAAAGTTGAATTGAATTAATCATGATTTTGATCTTCATCCAACTGAATACAGTTTTTCTTTCCCAAGATAATTTGTGTCAGAGAGTAAAAGAACTGACAAATGTTCCTGCACCTTTAATTTTACTCAGAGGTTTGGAATAAGAAAAACAAATCATTATTTGCAAGTTCACTCTTCTGTGCTTATAGGAACAATTTGTTGGAAAAGTTTCAAAAGCACCACCTTAATATAAAGAAGAAAATGACTTTTCCAACACTTAATAACAAAGTATTAGAACTAACCAAAGCAAGAGGAATAGAAGGTGAGGTGATTATTCCTTTGGCCCTTCAGGGAGTGTCCTCAGTTTGTGTCCTTGCCAGAAGCAATATCGAGCTATTTATGTTAAGCGAGTCAGCTGCTTGCGGTGAAAGTGAGCAGGCCCGAGGAAGACCTCTCTATACTGCTGATCAAGAAAGATAAAGACAAAAATAGAAAAGTGGAAATGATTCAAAAAGAAAACCAGAAAATATGTTTTTTATAAGTCAGAGGGGAATCAAAAATCATATCCAAATAATACTGAACAGATAAATATGGCCTAGAGGAGAAAGAAAAATAACTCAGTGTTACTGAAACTCAAAATAAGTGCATGTCACTTCTCACAGAATAATGCATCAGAAGTCAGAGATGGAAAATTAAAATGTCTACAAGAATTCAGTCTCTCTCTATTTGGTTGGCACATTTTAAGAGTTATTATATGCATTTTTGCTGAAGGTGTAGGGAAATTTTTTTTCATTGTTATCTGAACATAATATGGCACAGTTTTTTTTGAGGACAATATCAATTAAAGGTGAAAATGTGTAGTCATTGATCAAGAAATCCCATTTATAGGAATCCCTTCTTGAGAAATAATTAAACATGAGCACAAAGATATATTCACAAGAATGTTTGTCACAACATTGTTTGTGACTAAGAGAGAGGCTGACCATTGTAAACCTCCTACATGGCCATAATAGTGATGGTTAAATATAGTATGGTACTTTGTACATTGTTGTAGTTAGAATAACAAGATAGATCAACAGAATATATACTATACTCCCAGTTGTATAAAAAATACCTTGACTAAATATAGGTGTATGTGTATGAACTTAAGTATATTGAAAAATTTTTAAATAATTTCCTGGGTAGAGGAATATGATGTGGGAAAAATATATTGAATATGTATATATATATGTGTGTGTATATATATATGTTCATACATACATACATATATGCACATATAAACTCCTTAATTGTCTTTATATACTTATAGTTTGATATTTTATAAATTTGAAAATTAAATTGTGTATTTCCATGTACATAGATGTATAAACACACCTGCATAAGTAAAGGTGAACCTTTTGTAAATAAAACAATATCCTGCTGCATCTGGTAGGAACCAGAGAATGGAAAATTACCACAGAGAAGACAAGAAACTTCTAGAAAGACTATGAAACCTTGAAGACAAAACTGAAGGATTTATAGCCTTGTAGGACTGTGAGATGGTAGAGTGCTTTTATTGTTTTTCCCTCTGAAGGTTGAGATTTTGAAGGAAAAGTAGTATGTGGAAAGTGAGTAGCTGGAGAGATGGGTAGGTAGAGAGCCTCCATCTCTCCAGCTATTCATTCTTATCTATATCTATATCTATCTACCTATCCACCTATGTAAAGAGATGGAGAGATAGACCTCTCCCTCTACACACACACACACACACACACACACATACACACAAACATAGATATAAAACCAAAGAATGTGAATGAATTTCTAAACCATGGGTATGGTAAGTCAGGAATGTATTTATGCCGCACAACTAATGAGATATGGACTATACATTATTTGACTTCTTCAAGAGAAATTTATATTGAATAGGATAAGCTGGAGAAAAAAAGAATGCCCAGATAAAATTTGACAATTTTTACTCTAGAGCATCAGTTTTTCCTGCACCCCATAAAAGATGTTGTAAAATTATTCACATGCCTTTCACATTCTTGTCACATCTAAAATTCTAATATAAGTATAAATGGTTACAAAGGATGTAAATTTTTTGTGTATTTTAAATAATGACATTTAAAAATAGAATCGTGTCTACACATTTAATGGGAGTGAAATCTATTTAAATACCATAATAATTTGATCAACAAGTTCTTCGTTTGCAGTCAGGATTTTATATCATTCCTTTTTTTCTCTGAACTTACATTTTCATTTCCCCATCACCAAAGAATTTGATTTTAATGTAATATATTGTTATGTTTAAAGTATTGATCAACCTGTCATACTGCCTTCAATAAAATATGTATATAAACTTAATTTTTAATTTTTAAAAATTTTATGGGGACATTAATTATGGCAATGTTTCTTCTGGATTGAATTATCACTAAAATTTTTAATCAATCAAATCATAAATATATTTAAAATTAGTATAATTAGCAAACAAAAAAGTAAAATTTTATTGGGAATTTGTCTCTTATTGAAATGATGGTACTTTTTGTTTAATTAGTTCATGTAGCCATGGATGATGATTATTTTTATCTACATTGAGGGGCCAGTGGAAATTAATAGCCAAAAGAATGGTTAGGCCATTATTAGGAGCTGAACTTACAAACAGCGTTGTTAAATGCATAATTTACAATACCCAACTCTAATATAATATCCTTTGGAAAAGCTCATTTGCTCCTATGTGTGCTTCAGGTTGAAGGCTGCTGTTATGAAGTATGTCAGTGTAACATAAAATGATGGTGAAGATCCAGTAGGCAACATAAGAAAGTCACTAGGTAGGGGGTCAGTAACATCATAGTCTCCAAAATCTATACACCAATGTGCAAACAATGGATAATAACATAAATCCAGTAGCATAGGGTGATAAATAGAGCCTCATACTGAATACCAGTCTTAGTAAATGGTGTGAGATGATGGAAAGCTATGATGTAGTCTACATGAACAGAGATATTTGAGGGAAGGCAGGGTAGGACTATATGTTATACATACCCTACACACCTGGTCTGTGGGCGAGTGTTAAAAATACAGAAGCCTGGTCTCTATGACCTAATTAATCAGGTTCTCAGAGGATAAAGCTAAAAATATTTTCTACAATAATTCCAGGCTTCAGGTCTGTCATATTTGAGAACAACTTAGTGCTTGGAAAAGAGAACTCAATAATTTCAAAAGAAAAAAATAGCCATGAAGGCTTTAAAAGTGAAGATAAATCAAGATGGTTGAAAAGGTCTTAAAACAGTCTGATGATGCAAATATAAAATATTCCAATGAACCAGAAAAGGGGGAATTCTCAAAAGCAGTGCTGTTACATAGAAATATAATGTGAGCTACATATGTAACTCTAAATTTACTTGTAGTCACATTTCAAAAAGAGGAAACAAGTGAAATTTATTCTAATGGCATAATTACTAAACCAATATTTGCAAAATATTATTATTTCAACAGGTAATAAATATAAAAATTATTAACAAAATATTTTGCCTTCTTTTTTAAAATGAATTCTTCAACATCTGGTATATATTTTGCACTTTGCAGCACTTTTCAATTCAGAATAGCCACATTTTAAGTATTCAAGAACTGCATGCAACTGGACAGCACAGGTTGAAAGAAAATAGATGACAATAGAAGGAACTCTCTGAAGTTCAGATTTAAAAACAAGAAACTTGTACAAAATGTAGAAAAAAAGCATACTGTACTTTAAGATACTTTTGGCAGCAAGTAAAAGCTTCAAACCCCAAACCTCAAAAAAGCTTAAAGGGGAAAGCCAGTAGCATTCATCGCAGGAAGTCCTGAAGTAGGGCAGACTCAATCATGTCATCAAAGACCAGGTTCTTTTCATGTTTTTATTCTGCCATCTGGGTGTTGCCTGTATCCCAAGGCTGGTAACACAATGGCAGCAGTAGTCCCAGATGTCACATCTTGATATAACAGCCTTCAGAAGTAGAAGAAAGAGAGCGTCTCTTCTTGTGTGTCTCTCCTAGTAGTGATAAAACTTTGCAGAGACTGCTCCCAATAGGATTTCCTTCATATCTCTTTAACCAGAGTTGAGTTAAATGCCATTCCTTAGCTAATCACCATCAAGAAGTGGACATGGGGTGTTACGATTTTGGTTAAGGAGAAGTAGCCATTCTCCAACCTGTCTCTCCCATTGAATGCGGTAATAAAAACCAGGACAAAACACATAGGACAAAATGCAAGTATCTACTTGAGTGAGTAGTACCAGTCAGATTGGGAAAGGAGATGGGATTCAAATCACCTCTGACCAGCAGTGAGTTATCTTTTTTGCCCTCCATTTTTTCACTGCCTGATCTCAAGGCAACCCAAAAGCCAGATGTGAACACTGGTGTGGATGGAAACATCTCAAGAAGCAGCCCACTACTTCCCGCTCAAGAAGCAGGAGAGTCTACTGGCAGCAACAGTCATGGCAGCAGCACCCTACAGCACCCAAAACAGAGGGCTTGTCCAAAATATAGAAAAAAGAATACTGTACCTTAAGATATTTCTGGCATAAATTTCTTCTCTGAGCAGAGGAGCGGTGGTCCCAAGAGGGTGGCAAGAACCCCCACTAATTTTTTCTCTCTCTAGCTTCTTGAGGCTTGGCCGTGGAGTTGGAAATGTGGCAGAGCAGGGTAAATAAAGCCCCAGCTTTCCAACCGCAAAAAGGGAATGCAGGGAACTATAAATTGCTGGGGAGACAGTGGAGAAGAGGGAGCTCAAAAAAGCAACTTTGATAACCAAATTCAAAGAAAGTCTTCATGACCCAAGATTATGCAAAGATGTCTTAGATTTGATACCATACAATCTATTTAAAAATTGATGAACATTATCTTTTTAAAAAATGTGTTCTATGAAAGACACTGAAATGTAATGATGAAATAATGTGTAGATTGGTGAAAGTATATTTAAATTATACATCTGACAAAGAATTTGTATCCAGAATAAATAAAGAACTGTTATAACTCAATAACAAAATAACTCTAAAAATGGGCAAGAGACTTGAACTTCATCACAGTGGACATATGTAAAGCAAATAAATGCATGAAATATGTTCAACATCATTAGCCACTGGGGTAATGCAAATTAAAACCATGACAAGAGACCAGTACATACCTATGAGAATGACTACGTTGAAAAAAACCTAACGAAAAGACTGATGATGATACCATAAGCAGGTGAACATTCAGAGCAGCAGGTACTCTTGTAAATTGCTGATGGCAACAAAAACTGACTCAGCCACTCTGGAAGACTGTTTGGCAGCTTCTTATGAAGTTAAATATACACTTACTCTATGGCCATTAATCCTAGTCCTGAGTGTTTGCCCTAGGAAAATGCTCATACAAAAACTCACACACAAACGTTTACTACAGCTCTATTCCTGATTCCCCAAATTAGAGACAACTGAAATGTCTTTCAGTGTGTAAATGAATAAATAACAAAAGGATAAACAAACTGTGGTACATATTTATAATAAATACTACTGTGCAATAATAAAGTATTAATGCACACAACTTGGATATATTTCAAAGGCATTATGCATAGTGAAAGAAGCCAATCTCAAAAGGTTATACAATATAGATTCCATTTACATGACACCCACAAAAAGATGAAATGATAGTAAAAAAAACTAGATCAGCAGTCCCCAGGAGTTAGGGATAAAGGGGAGTATGTGACTACAAAGGGATAGCACAGTGATGTGTTTTGAGGTGACAGAACTGTTCTGTGTCTTGATTGTAGTGGTGGTGACATCAGTCTACACTTATTAAAATTTGTGGTATTGCCCACCAAAAAAGTCCTTGTATGTTAACTGTTTTAAGTGGAATCGATTAGACACAAGGCTGCTTGTATTGGGAGTGGGGTGCAGGGTTGGATTGGGGATAATTAAAACAAATAGGAGTCCTTTTAGGAAGAAGGAAGAGAGGAATGAATAATACACGACCACCAGTGATCACTATAGGCACACAATAATGGACAAATGAAGGTAAGAGAGTGGCTTGCGGCTGTTAAAAATTGAGACAATGGCTAAATTTCTAGATTGAATCGAGATGTGTGAAAAAATAATGCCCGGATAAATTTGTTTATTTTTTAAAATTGATTGGAGAGGCCAGGCGCGGTGGCTCATGCCTGTAATCCCAGCACTTTGGGAGGCCGAGGTGGGTGGATCACGAGGTCAGGAAATCGAGACCATCCTGGCTAACACGGTGAAACCCAGTATCTATTAAAAATACAAAAAGAAATTAGCCGGGCATGGTGGTGGGCGCCTGTAGTCCCAGCTACTTGGGAGGCTGAGGCAGGAGAATGGCGTGAACCTGGGAGGCGGAGCTTGCAGTGAGCCGAGATCGCGCCACTGTACTCCAGCCTGGGTGACAAAGTGAGACTCTGTCTCAAAAAACAAAAAAAAAAATTAATTGGAGAAAGAAAGGAAGCAAAAAGCTCTCTGCTAAGGACAGATGGTATAAGGTTAACAGATGACAAAGAGGAGCTTGGAACTATCTGATCGTTATTATGCCTCCATGTTATCTGTCAAGATGACCTTATGTAAGTAAAAATGGTGAGTTACAAAAACAGAATGTACAATATAATGTCATTTGATTTACATATATATTCAAATATATATATACACAAATATATATATATACACACAAATATATATATATATATATATATAAAATGTGAGAAGGACATACCCTGAAATGTTAGCAGTTTTTATTTTTGGTGTAGGATTTTAATCTTGCCGTGCATATGTATTTCCCAAATATTCTACAATTCACACATATAACTTTAAAAATAAAACTGAATAAGTGATTTAAAAATGAAAAAAGGTGAAAGAAACTTTAAGAAAACAGAAGGTCAAAATGAGGGGGTGTTAAAAGAACACATAGATTTTTATTTAAAAGTTAACAATTAAATACACTCCAGAGCACTGCAAGAACTTTTGGAGAACAGAACACACGCAAAAGTAGTTCCAGTAAAACTATACAAAAATTCTATGCCTAATTGTTGAAAGAACAGATTTGGAGAACTTAGAAAAGAAGCACTATTAAAATTCTAGCTTAAGCTCACTGAAAATAGGACAGACAAAGTTCATTTTCTTTTCTCAAGGTACTACAAGTAATCCATTACTTTAGGTAATGGATGCTGTGTCCTCAGACTTGATCTATTCAAGACTTTTGTCTCTTATGATAGTATCTCAGTTTTATTTAGGAGAACTATTTTGGCTATTTTATAGACATCTCGTGTCTATTGATATGTCTCAATATATCTAATAGTTCCCCTAAAACCTGCTCCATCGATGATCTCTAACATCATAGGAAATAGCAATTGCATCCTTCCATTGCTCAGGCAAAACATCTTAAAGTCATTCTTGACTCCTCTCTCTTTCTCACAGTCCACATTGAAATCCATCAGCAAATGCCACTGGTTTTACCTTTAAAATCTATCAAGGATCTAAGACCTAAAACCATAAGAATCCTAGAAGAAAACCTGGGCAATACCATTCAGGACATAGGCATGGGCAAAGACTTCATGTCTAAAACACCAAAAGCTGTGGCAACACAAGCCAAAATTGACAAATGGGGTCTAATTAAACTAAAGAGCTTCAGCACAGCAAAAGAAACTATCATCAGAGTGAACAGGCAACCTACAGAATGGGAGAAAATGTTTGCAATCTGTCCATCTGACAAAGGGCTAATATCCAGAATCCATAAAGAACTTAAACAAATTTACAAGAAAAAAAAAAAAATCAAAAAGTGGGCAAAGGATATGAACAGATACTTCTCAAAAGAAGACATTTATGCAACCAACAAACACATGAAGAAATGCTCATCATCACTGGCCATCAGAGAAATGCAGATCAAAACCACAATGAGATACCATCTCTCGCCAGTTAGAATAGCAATCATTAAAAAGTCAGGAAACAACAGATGCTGGAGAGGATGTGGAGAAATAGGAATGCTTTTACACTGTTGGGGGGAGTGTAAATTAGTTCAACCATTGTGGAAGACAGTGTGGCTATTCCTCAAGGATCTAGAACCAGAAATACCATTTGACCCAGCAATCCCATTACTGGGTATATACCCAAAGGATTATAAATCATTCTCCTGTAAAGACACATGCACACATATGTTTATTGTGGCATCATTCACAATAGCAGACTTGGAACCAACCCAAATGCCCATCAATGATAGACTTGATAAAGAAAATGTGGCACATATACACCATGGAATACTATGCGGCCATAAAAAAGGATGAGTTCATGTCTTTTGCAGGGACATGGATGAAGCTGGAAACCATCATTCTTAGCAAACTATCACAAAAACAGAAAACCAAACACCGCATGTTCTCACTCATAAGTGGGAGTTGAACAGGGAGAACACATGGACACAGGGAGGGGAACATCATACACCGGGGCCTGCCAGTTTGGTGGGGGGCTAGGGGAGGGATAGCATTAGGAGAAATACCTAATGTAGGTGACGAGTTGATGGGTGCAGCAAACCAGCATGGCACGTGCATACCTATGTAACAAAACTGCACATTCTGCACATGTACCCCAGAACTTAAAGTATAATTTATCAAAAAAAGTTAAAAAAAAATATATATATATGTATGTGTATATATATATATATATATATATAATGTGTATATATATATGTATATATATATATATATATATATATATATATATATATATATATATATTAAGGATCTGACCACTTCTGACCACTGCTTCTGCTACCATCCACACCCAGTACCACTCACCATCTTTTCTCACCTAACTTATTACGATGGCTTCTAAAGGAAATCCCTGCTTTTATTCTAGGCCACCTACATTCTACCATCCTTTTCAAACACAAGTCAAGTCATGTCACCCCTTGGATAAATCCCTCCAGTGACTCTCCATTTCATTCAATGTCAATGCCAAAGTCCTTACCATGGCTTTCAGGGCCACTAATGAAATGCCTGGCCTCCTTCTTTTTCTTCTTCCCTCTCTTTTGCTCATTGGCCTTAACCACAGTGGTCTTGCTGGACTTTGTACCAGCCAGGCACACTCCTGCCTCAAGGCCTTTGCACTAGCTCTTTGTGCTACATGGATGGCTCTTTTCCAGATCCCACATAGGTATGGTGTCCCTAGATCCTGGTTTGCCTAAGAGTCCCTGAATTAGTCTGTTTCTGCACTGCTATAGAGTTACTACCTGAGACTGGGAAATTTATAAACAAAGAAGGTTTAATTGACCCACAGTTCCGCATGGCTAGGGAGGCCTCAGGAAACTTGCAATCATGGCCATAGGCAAAGAGGAAGCAGGCACCTTCTTTACAAGGTGGCGGGAGAGAGAGTGCACACAGTGGAAACTGTCATTTTTAAACCATCAGATCTCGTGAGAACTCCCTCACCAATGCAAGAACAGTAGCATGGGGGAAACCGAGTCCTTTTCCCAAAAGAGATGAGAGGTGCAGAGAAAACAAAAAGGTACTTCAATATTTTATTATATTTTGCAAATGCCACACAATGTTATAGGTTATTCTAGAGATTAATAAACCCCAATATATGGTTTGCTCCTAAATGGTTATGATTTTTTCTATACATTGAGTCTCTGATTCAGCACTTTGATAAGCTCTCTGCAATTTTACCACCTAGTAGCCAATTTACTTTGCTTTAATAAAACATATTACCAAAATATTGTACATCTTTTAGTCATAGAAACTCTCTCTTTTTTCACTATGTTAAATAATGATATACATTTTCAATTTATCTTTGGTGAATGTTAGAATATGACAGCTGTATTTGTTTTTCATGATGTAAAGTGAATGATAATATCTCACAAGCTGATTTATTTCCTTCTTTTCTATCCACAATGATCTCACTATGCTATTTCAGCTTAAAAATATGGATATTGATACACCAGCTGCTTTAACTCTAGAGAATAGCTCTTTCCCATGAACCAACAATTTTACTTAAAAGAGGAGAGAGACATAAAATAAAGAAACATTTCTCAGGGCCATCTAAACCAAATTTTAAAAAATCCCAAAACCCATATAAGCTTTGACAGCATTGCAAGATTTCTTTTGTTAGGGTACAAGATACAGAAATTCCCATGAAAATAACAAATCAATTAAAGCATGTATTCTCCTAATTAAAGTTGTCATTGTTATTTCCATGTTATTAATAGAAAAAAAAGTCTCATCCACATTCCCAATTAAATGTGCTGCATACTTGTGCAAAGCAAGTACTATAAATTGATCTAAAAGGCTGTGGATGGTATGCAGCATACTGTTTTTTGGATTTTGTTTTGTTTTATGGGTTTTTTTCACTTTAAAGAAACCTAACAGATTTTATCTTTGTTTAGAAAATCATGCATGCAGGGCCTGAAGCAATGATTTATGCTATGGCATAATATGTTTTTGACACAAAAAGTACTTGTCAAAAATGCAAGACACAGAGCAACTATTCTAAGTGTTTTAAGAGGAGAAAGGACTATCTGGCTTTCATCAGTCAATAATATATTTGACATAAATAATGATTGAAAACTGACAGCTACAAGATATGATGTAGATGCTTCAAGTTCCTGCAAATAAAAAGGTGAGAAATAAGCATTTTGTATTTATAGTTATTTTTCTTTGATGTGATTGAACTGCTTTACATTGCAACAAGCATTATAATTGTATTAGTAACTGGTGAGTCACATGAATAACATCTTTAATTGAATACTTGTTTTCATAGTATAGCTGCAACTCTGCCTTGATTTGGCACTACAGAAGAATAGGCTTAATCTTTCATCTTCCATCTGTTTTTTTCTGAGTAATTTTATATTTAAAAACATACCAAAAGAAAAACCATGAGGCTACGTAATGATGGAGAGCTTTAACTAGTTATGGTCAGTAAAAATGATGAACATTAATTTTGGAAAATGTGACTCTTCTGAACCTTGAAGAAAGACAGTATACTTTCATAAAACCAGAGAGAAATGTCTGTTCTAAGTGGCTCTGGGAAAATCATGCCATCACAAAATATTTTTCTCAAAAGACTCATAATCTGCTTTGGCACTTCAAAACTTCCCATTTGTACTCCCTCACTCCAGTGCAATAATATACTTCCCACATTACTGATGTTGTCCATTGGCCAGACTTGCTTTGGCCAATGGCATGTTAGCAGATGTTTTGTGAGGAGAGGCCTTAAATACGCTAGTGTAATTTGGGCTTGGCTATAGTGCTCTGATGATCTGCCTGAGAAGCATACCCTGGGAAGCTGCTCACCCTTCAGCCTAAGCCTACCAGAAATCACATACATAGTTAACCTGAATCCAATCTATAGCCTGGACTGAAAGCCATCTGAACCACTATTGGAAACAGAGCCATCCAGCTGAGCCCTTCATAGATTGGCCAAACCATGGTTAACCTGAAGACCTGTGAACAAGAAAATTATATGCTTGTTGGAAGACACTGATTCAGGGAATGGCTTGTTAAAGCAATAGCTGACTGATAAAGACAGGCTGCCTTAGCGTAGTATGGTTAAGAGTGCAGACTGTAAGGCTAAACTCCTTTATGTCAAATCTCTACAGTTTGTCAGCTGTGTTTCCTTGTACAAGTTATTTAAATCATGCCTCAGTTTTTTCACTTGTGAAATGGGATGATGATAATATCTATGTCATGCAGTTAATATTTTTAAAGTTCTTAGAACAGTGCCGGTACATAGCATCCTCTGAAACAGTATGTACTGGATCAATAAAATAAACCTCATTAACCCATAACTGTGTCCCCTGAAGACCCCTATCAAGAACATGATGGTTTCTATATTTGTCGCTTCTGCCAGAGGGTGCTTGATTCTCCAGAGATTGTCTCCAGCATCATCAAGAGTTCGTGTTACATAATACTTAAGAGTTCCATATGTTGAAGACTTTCTTCTGATGAGTCAGATGACCTGGATTTGAATTTTTGTTTTACTGTCTAAGCACTGTGCCAGACACTGAGTTCCAATTTCCTTACCAGTGAACTAGGTACCATAATAGCTCTGAGCTCTGCAGTTATCAGTATTATATTAGATGCTCTATAGAAAATCTTTTAGTACATTATTTATTGCATTGCAAAGACTTAATAAATGTTAGTTGTCCTTAATTTGCTCAAAAAATTTTAGGAACTACAGGTCATTTTTAGCTTATTAAGAAGTGGATTTTAACTTCAAGTGTTGTTTACCTAAATTCATTAAAAGGTAACCTTCTCTGATCAATTTAAGACAAAGTAGATTTTTTTTAAAGCACCTAAAACCAACAAAAATAACACTACATTATTTTCTCTCCTCTACTACTCCAAATCTCTTCAGCCTTTATTTTCATTTTGTTCTGATTTATCATTATAATACAAATCATAAAAATGATTCTCGTTATTATGTCTGTGTTATCTTCACTTTATTTTTATGTAAATAATGTTGTCTCTACCTTCTATTTACTAACACTATTTCTCTTATTAATCAAAAAGAGCCCTCAGATCACATTCATTTCAATGGAAATTTAATTTAAAAGGTAAGAAATGTGGATTATGTAAAATACTAAGTCACAATGTGTGCATCTTTTACATGAAAATAACCCTAATTTCCCTGCTTGACTGAGAAAAGAAATAAAAAGAATGATTGCTATAAATCAGGAAAATTTCATAACTTGCTGGAGGTGTAACAGCTGTTGATTTAAGGTCTGCATCTTCAATAACACGAGGCTGCTGGGAAGATAACATCTTTTTGACAAAGCTGTGAACATAAAAATTACAAGGCTATACTCGACATTTAAATATTTTCTCCGTATCACTTAGAGAAAAAAAATTCTTTAATTCACTTATACTGAAATATGTTTGAAGTTTATTGTATCTCATCAGCAAGCTTTACAATAAAATTTAGTGTTTTCTTGTTTCATAGGTGTACAGCAGATGTGTCATATCACAAATAAAAATAAATTATCCTCACTTTAGAGAAATGGTCTCCTGTTATGTACAAGTAGTTCTTACCATTAGTAATACAACACAGAATTGAGCATACACTTGGGATATTATTCATTTCTTTTATTATCAGCTAGAGCTAGGTGATTGAAAAATTAGGTGACAAAACAAAGCAAGTATTGCATTGGCTGAAAAAAAATCTTCTAAGTGGAATCTTGGGAAAAAAGTGGAATCTTGTAAAAGAGAATAACTTTGCCAAGCATTTGGAAACAATAGCAGAGTTTTTATTTATCTAGAGGCTGCTCTATTATTTATTGCACATGTTCGTGTACTGTTGACTCACAAACTATAACATTTTATGCTGAGGTTTTGTGTTTCTTATTTATCAGTGAAATGCACTGAAAACATCATCAAGTACCTAGAATAACGCTAAGTAATGGCCTAGTCTACTCACTCTTCAGCAAAACCCACTGTGCTTCCTTTCTTTTATGAATTGCATTTAACTTAGAAAACAAATTTGCTTCTTATTATTATACTTTTTTAATGCTTCTGTGTTTTACCTAAGACCATCTTGCAATGTCACTGTAACACCTGTGTGCCCCAGCGCTCTAGCCATCTCGAGTCACTTCTTCTCTGAATGTTCAGATAAAATGATTTTGACTCCCCACACTACATGCTTGAGGAAATACAAATCCCTTTCTGCCCCCCTTGAGAATAAGGGCAGAGTTGCCTACAATTCTTCTTGATACCTTTTATTCCAATTTTACTCTGAATTCCTGCTCTTGCCTAATTCTTGATTCATAAGAGCGTTTTCTCCTGGAGCTTCCACCTTCTCGGCACCATTTCATCCCAAGTTGGACATACTCCTGGTTCATTGTCCAGAGCTCTATTACTAAAGGTTGTGTGTATAACAGAATGTTATTGGAGGCTTGGGGAGAATGGAAGATGGAAAACAGCTTTAAGTTGAATGTTGACCATCACTTCTCATTCACTTACTCATTCATTAACAAATATATATTAAGCTCTTACCCTGTAGAGGCACTATTCAAGATCATGGAGCTACAGAAGTGAACAAAACAGATTAAATCCCCTGCTTTGATAGAGTTTGGAGTCCACTTATTTAAGAGAGATAATACACAAAATAAATAAGTAAAATAGATAAGTTAGAGAGTAGTGTTTTCAAAAGAAATAAAGCAGAGAAGGCAGAAAAACTGTAGGGAGGGGTACACTTTTAGGTAGGGAGGTAGGGGAAACATTTACTGTAAAGGTGTTATTTAGAAAAAGACATAAAGGAAATAGGAGAAGAAGCCATGGGGATATGTTTGGCAAGAGTAGTTTAGGTAGCGGAAAATGGCAAATGCAAAGGTCAGAGCCTCCCTGGAATACTAGAGTTTAGCAAAGAGGATGCTGGGGCTGAGTTCTCAAATTTCTCACCACCTAGACCCTTCTCCTGATTCTAGAGTTCTGTATTAACTCTATTATTTTGTTATTTTCTGTATTCTTGATGCTCTGTTATCTGGGCCCTCGCTGACTAGGGAGAGACTGCCCCTCCTAGATGTAGTCAATTCTTAAAAATAGCAAACTATTCACCCTGGAGTCCACTTTTACACACAAACTCACCAAACCAAAGCCCATATTCCAGCACCTTCTATATCTGACTTTCACACACCTGGAGGCAGCATTCCTCTGCCCCGATTACCCTAGGGCCAGGTACTAGACAAGGAGGGACCACCTCTATAGGCCAGAGCCTGCTACAGTTATTCAAACTGTCCAATCCGAAGACTGCTGAGCAGCTCACCTGCCTGGCCCACTCCTTCCTGTGAGAAGCACAGTAAAGTCTCTGTCTGTGCCTGCCCTTGATCATTCTATCTCCTGACTGACCCTGGCACTTCCCATGTTGCCCTGCATGGCCTGGTGTACCCCTCCTCTTGAGAACTATGAGCAACAAACTATCTTTTCAGTGGCAGTTGTCTCTTTATCTCTTGGCCCCGCCATACCTGAATAAAACCAAAATCCCAAGTACATTTTCAAACAAGTCCCTACCTAGCAGCCAGTAGACAATTTACAAATTCATTTTATTCCTCAACAGAGAAATAGGGGTAGTTTTCTTTCCATTCAGACTAGGTCTTGGGTCTGCTGTAACTAAAAGGCACGTTAATTAGCTTTCCTACACAAAATAAAAGTTTTCCTTATGGCAAAAAAATTCTACTCCAGCTCTGATTATACAACCATCACCCCTTGTCATCACTCCATAGCCTAACTCCAGTTGTCCCCACCATTAACTCTGAAGTGGTGCTTCCTAATCAGATGTCATCCACCACCTAAATAATAAGCAGTATGTTCAGCAAGGAGGTTACCAAATCTGAGCTAAGCATAGTCTTTCCAGAAGATCTTGTGACCCAAGAAAATGGGTAGTTTTTTTTAGAAGTAACCAGCTACAGACCATAGAAGCTGGTTTCCCTAGAGATTCTATGTTCTGCATTTTCTGGGCTCTAAGAAAAACACCTGTTTGGTTTGATAACACAAAAGCAGCTAAGGCGGTAATGGCCTCATGGGCCACTCCAAAGTCTGATGGGAATTTAATAAGTTAATTTCCTAAACTATCGCACAACAGAACTCTTATCAAGCTTAATATTCCTCCAAAAGGGGGTGGGGGACTTCCTTAAGCAAGTAAATTTTGTCAATACTGCATAATATGTTTTTCAAACTTGGATATTGGCACATTAGACTGTGATTTGAGAGGGAGGGGAATGTAACTAAATACTAGAACCTATAAAAACCTGATCCCAGATGTTACAGTTGTCTCAGTGACTAGGGAAACATTCAATATTTTGGTTGCTTTTGTGTGTGCTGATTTTTTTTTAATTTTCATGCCTGTCCTTGGTTGTAACATAAAAATATATTTTTATGTACTTCTAATTTTTTTAATCAAAAGACAGTTAAAACTCTTATCTGCTAAATTTCTGCCTAGTATGTGAATTAATTCTGATGACATAGTTCTGATATCTAAGTGTTGATAAATGTCCAAATTCCAAAATGACAACATCATTTTTGTTACTTCTTTTTCACAATTTATATTAATACTTGGTCCTAAAATAACCCAAGTATGTTATTTTTCATTTACATTTCTACACAGCGAATGAAAACAGAATAATGATTCATAGTAACAGTATGTTTGCCTTAAATAGAGTTTTATGCTACATTACCGTATTTTCTAGTTTATAAGCTTAAGCAGTTTATAAGGCACAACCAACTTTTATAAGCATATTTGGCTGGAGTGGAATTTTACAGTAAGGAGAGTAGAAGGAAAATGCATCTCCCTGCTCTGATAAGGTCGATGGGTCTTTCTGTGTCCTGAGAGCTTTTGCAATCAGCCACTCTGGGAAAAGCTTAGGGTTGTGAGTGGGGAGCTCTGGAATTTGTTAAAATATCAGTTTACTCGGCCATCATAGGATTTCTCTATCTAGTAGCAGCTACTGCAAATTTTAACCAGTTACTCTGAATGAGATATATTTTGGGTATGTGGCTGAACAATTTACTTCTACGGACAGCTTTTATTTGACAGAGTGAATTTCCATATTCTAAATTGACTATGATGTGATTGATACATTAGAAAACATGTTTTGCAAAACACAGATTATTGGTTATATCAGGATCATGTCTTATTGCCAATGCATTCATGTAAGAAGTAAAACTGAAGCAACTGTTACGACAGCTGCTTTCTTTATCATAATAGATGTAATAAGTATGGTAAGAATGTACGGAAGCACTGTGCTGGTGGTATCGTTAATAGTGATGAGAAAACAAAGAGCATTATTAATGACCCAAACCTAGATAGGGTCTAAGGTAATATTTATTAAAATTTCTTCAGAAAATACAATTTTATTTTTGCAAGTTTTTTTTACAGCTCTTTAGGTCTTAAGGCCCTTTTGTTCTCATGGGCACAACAGTTTTTAGAACACAACTTTTGATAACTCAGGAGTTTTGTAGGAACAAAACCGTCAGGTGGTGGCAGACCAGAGACCCTCTTGCTAGCACATCTAGAGACTGACAATATTTGTGTCATTTCTTATATTGTAAAAATATTTATTTTCCCATGTCTCTTAAAATGAATACTGTTATCACATTTGAGAAGTCCATTCTGACCTGTAACATGGTATTAGCATCTCACCTATTTCCTCTTTTGACAGTTCTCATTATCTTTAAAGACCAATTATTCTTCTAGTGTGCATTAGGGAGTTTTCCACTTCCCTCTTCCTCACCTCATAGATTGCTGCTAAATCTCATCTCCCTTTTTTATGTATAACTTTATTTCAAGCTATGTATCGGTATAAATAGTTAAGCTAATTTTAATTAAAATATTAAGTAAGCTTTCATAAGGCATTAAGCAAATGATTTTAGTAAAGTCCAGATATATTACATCTACTGAATTCCCTTCATCCACTTTGTATTTTGATCAAAGGAATGCAATTCAATGTCTGACATGATCTGTTCTGTATCAGCCCATGCTGCTTATCACCCAGGCTTTTACTACTCTCTGGATGCATATTGATATGGTTTGGCTGTGTCCTCACCCAAATCTCATCTTGGATTGTAGCTCCCACAATTCCCACATCATGAGTGGGACCTTGTAGGAGGTAATTGAATCATGGAGGGGAGGTCTTTCCCATGTTGTTCTCGTGATAGTGAATAAGTCTCATGAGATCTGATGGTTTTAAAAAGGGGAGTTCCCCTGCACAAGCTCACTCTTGCCTGCTACCATGTAAGACATGCCTTTTCTCTTCCTTCATCTTCTGCTATGACTGTGAGGCCTCCCCACCCGTATGAAACTGTGAGTCCATTAAACTTCTTTCCTTTTTAAATTACCAGTCTTGGGTGTGTCTTTTTTAGCAGCATGAGAATGGGCTAATGCAGACATTAGTACCAGAAATGGGGTACTGCTGTAAAGATACCTGAAAATGTGAAAGCAACTTTGGAATTGGGTAACAGGCAGAGGTTGGAACAGTTTGGAGGGCTCAGAAAAAGACAGAAAGATGTGGGAAAGTTTGGAACTCCCTAGAGACTTGTTGAATGGTTGTGACCAAAATGCTGATAGTGATATGGACAATGAAGTTCAGGTTTAGGTGCTCTCAGATGGAGATGAGGAACTTGTTGGGAACTGGAGAAAAGGTGACTCTTGTGATGCCTTAGCAAAGAGACTGGCAGCATTTTGCCCTGCCCTAGAGATTTGTGGAACTTTGAACTTGAGTGAGATGATTTTGGACATCTGGCAGAAGAAATTTCTAAGCAGCAAAGCATTCAAGAGATGACTTGGATATTGTTAAAAGCATTCAGTTTTATTCATTCACAAAGACATGGTTTGGAGTTGGAACTCATGTTTAAAAGGAAAGCAGAGCATAAAAATTTAGAAAACTTGCAGCCTGATGATGCAATAGACAAGAAAAACTCATTTTCTGAGGAGAAATTCAAGCCAGCTGTAAAAATTTGCATAAGTAAAGACAATGGGGAAAATGTCTCCAGGGCACATCAGAGGTCTTCACAGCAGGCCCTCCCATCACAGGCCCAGAGGCCTAGGAGGGAAAAAAATGGTTTCCTGGGCCAAGTCCAGGGCCTTCATGCTTTGTGCAGTCTCTGAACTTGGTCCCCTGCATTCACGCCATGGCTAAAACAGGCCAACATCCAGCCCAAGACATTGCTTCAGAGGGTACAAGCCCCAAGCCTTGGAAGCTTACATGTGGTGTTGGGCCTCTAGTTGCACAGAAGTAAAGAACCGAGGTTTGGGAACCTCCACCTAGATTTCAGAGGCTGGATGGAAATGCCTGGCTGTCCAGATAGAGGTGTGCTACAGGGTCAGAGCCCTCATGGAGAACCTCTGCTAGGGCAGTGAGGAAAAGAAATGTGGGGTTGGAGCCCCCACACAGAGTCCCAACTTGGGGCACTATCTAGTGGAACTGTAAGAAGAGGGACACTGTCATGCAGACACCAGAATGGTAGATCCACTGACAGCTTGCACTGTGCACCTGGAAAAGCTGCAGATACTCAATGCCAGCCCATGAAAGCAGCCAGGAGGGGGTCTATATCCTGCAAAGCCACAGGGGCAGAGCTGCCCAAGGCCATGGGAGGCCACATCTTGCATCAGCATGACCTGGATATGAGACATGGAGCCAAAGAAGATCATTTTGGAGCTTTAAGATTTGACTACCCCACTGGATTTCCCAGAATGCATGGGTCCTGTAGCCCCTTCATTTTGGCCAATTTGTCACATTTGGAATGGTTGTATTTACCCAAAGCCTGTACCCCCATTGTATCTAGGAAGTAACTAACTTGCTTTTGATTTTACGGGCTCATAGGCAGAAGGGATTTGCTGTGTCTCAGATGAGACTTTGGACTGTGGACTTTTGAGTTAATGCTGAAATTAGTTAAGACTTTGGGAGACTGTTGGGAAGGTATGATTGGTTTTGAAATGTGAGGACATGAGGTTTGGGAGGGGCCTGGGGCAGAACGATATTGTTTGGCTGTGTCCCCCCATATCTCATCTTGGATTGTAGCTCTCACAATTCCCACATGTCATGGGAGGGACCCAGTTGGAGTTAATTGAATCACAGGGGTGAGTCTTTCCCATGCTGTTCTTGTGATAGTGAATAAGTTTCATGAGATTGATGGTTTTATAAATGGGGGGTTTCCCTGCACAAGCTCTCGCTTGCCTGCCACCATGAAAGACATCTCTTTGCTCTTCTCCTTTGTCTTCTTTCATGACTGTGATGCCTTCCCAGCCATGTGGAACTATGAGTCCATTAAACTGCTTTCCTTTATAAATTTCCAGTCTTAGGTATGTCTTTATTAGCAGCATGAGAAAAGACTAATACACATATATAATACTTTTTTTCTTAATATCTACTCTGTTATTTTGCTAAGAACTTAAGATATTAATAGCCAGGAAGAGTTTATTTATTTCTAAAATATTTTTACCTTGGTTATTGTTTCCATTGTTTTTGAAATGCTTTGGTTATCCCAATCCCAAGAAATATTTCCCAATGGAAACACAAATGCCATGGGAAATTTTCCTGGCAACTAAGGGTGCTTTATTTAAACCAAAGGTGCTTAATTGCTGTGTTCCACATATTCATTTTTCAGCCTATTGAGTTCAAGTAGCTTATTGATGTTATCATTAATCTTAGGTACCATTCTTATCTTTTCAGCTAATTATCCTCTGATAGAATCGTAACAAAAATCTGTAGTTTCTCAGCCATGTGCCAGTTCAATTAGAGGTTATGTTTGTCTGTTGTTCATTTTAGAGTACTTCTAAATACTTTATGCCAACTCCATGACATATTAAATTATGCCAGCCTCAGCACATTTAAATGATGATTCTATTTATCACTTTAGTGTATTCTTCATTGCAGTAAGTCAAATAACTACTATTTGGTCTCTGGAATTCACAAATCAGCAATGAGGCTTACAGTCTGCTTATTTTATATAAGCTAAAGATCATGACTTGAATTTCTACTAAACAGAAGTAATTTATATTTTATTAATATAACTATTTTTCCATTCAAATACGCTGCAGTTAAAATTAATTGACCCTATTTTAAAGAGTTTCCCCAAAATAAAAATATTGTTTCCACACTTTTGTATATATCGGAGTTTAAAGGGAATGAGAATGTGAACAGCAAGGAATACCACTAATCCCTTTAGAAATTCTCAGGAGTGAACGAGGTAAGGTGTGCATGCTAATATGAGCAGTTTCTCCTCATACACAAAGGGCTAAGAATGTTATGTTTCCTTTTTATATCAAATCAAATCTACCTCTGGAACCTCACTTGCCATGGTCAGCAATGTCAGTCATTTTAAATGGCTTCCTTCCCTCTCACAGAAGCTTATAAAGACCCGTGGGATTACAAAATCCTGTGGAAATAAAGGAGAGATCCTGGTCTCACTTGAAATGCTCATCATGCCTATGCACACCCAAAGGTGGACTGTTCTGCAGATGGCATTCATATCATTAGCATCCAGCTAATCTGTGGTCCCCACAGGACAGCTTTTGGTACACGGTCCTTGCTGACACCTAGACAAATATCATCTGCGGAGTCATGACACCTCTTAGACACTACTTTCTGGTGAGATCCCAGTCTTCACCACATAAATTAACAATCGGTCTCTGGTTCCTTCTTCTCTGAGGAACTCACCTACTTCCTGAAAGGTCAAACCTTCATTTCTCCAACCCCTGGGAAAAATACAAACACCTAGCCTTTCTTTTCCTGGCCCCGTTTTAATGGCACATCATGAAACTTCAAACTTCAGGACCACAAAAGAAATATTCATTTTCCTGGTTTCTTTAGGAATACAATAACTGATCTCCCACCTCCCAAGGAGAATGGTGTGATTATAAACAGAAGGAAAGAAACAATACAGTTGACCTTTCACGTATTACATTAAATGCTTAATAACTCACCTTTTATACAAGGAAACCAAAACAATTATTTTTTCCAAACTGGGATGAAAAGCTTTTGAATGAATTTTAGTGTTTGTGCTTAAAGCTAACTGATACTTCATCCTCCCATTACCTACTCCTATTTCCTGGCTTTCTTCTGTCTTTCCACTGGCTTTTCCCTAACTTTCTGGATAGCTGGAGATGAATTAATGCTGTGTGAGAAGCAGATGCACTAGGCTTTTAATAAACAATAGATTTTTATACATAATGGTGATAAATATTATTTAAGCAATTCACTTGGTTAGAGGGTGTGCTGCTTATGAGGCTAATGTTGCACATTCATTCCTTATCTGAGTCAATTAACTTCAAAGAGAGAAATATCTTTCTGCAAGACTACATCTCTAACTACAGCCAACAGAGTAATTCAACATGATCACTAGAAAAAAACTTTAGAGAACATTTCCTGACAGTTGGTCAATTACATCATTTTAGTATATGACAGACAGCATACTATTATATTATTATTTGCCAGGAAGAGGTGTATTTCTCTGCAGAACTCCAATGCTTCAAGAATAGGAAAGTTTACTTAAGATCAATGCAAATGGAGTTTGTGCTATTAGTATCAAAGTAAACCTAAAATTATTTAGATCCAGTATTAATAAATAAATTAGAATAAACACTGGAATTAAAATATGAAGTGCTGAGTGAGATAATGACTATTTTAAAGAGAGGGGAGGTTAAGATTATTTAAAATGTAACTATTTGTGTAGTTGCATTAGTGGAGAGATATGGCTAATAATCATACCACTGAAGATGTTTATAACTCACTTTAATGCCTTAAGGTGGTTTATAAAATACAAATGCTGCAAAATACTCATTAGTATAAAACTGTATCCTAGCAGTTAATTTTGTTGTTACTGAATTATAGCTTGTTGATTGCTATCTTTGAGTAGCTCATAATGGCAATCCAGGGGAACCCCCAGTGTGAAGAAAACCTGCAGAGAACCCCACCTCTTTCATAAGGATGCAGAACTTATTACCACCTCTAAAAAGTAATCTCTCCCACAACCCTCCCTTGGGGAATCATGTGACCTGATGCTCTCACAACCAAATTCCAAGCAAAAAATAATATTTTTCAGTCACGAAAGTCCAGTTAGTGATATGGAGCAAATTGGTATGAATAGGATATAATATTGAGAGATCAACCTGACTGGCTGGCCTTCCCATATCACCATAACCATTATTCCGGAGCACCACAACCTATAGCCCTTTCTTGGGTAGATATCACCTGCAAAGGTCCAGAGATTTTTAGCGGCTTGTAATCCTAACAGCTCTGGTTCTGGTCTACCTAGGGGGGGGTCCTTCATATTTGTAACCAAAGTTTGAAATAGATACATGCATAGATAGATGATAGATAGATAGATAGATAGATAGATAGATAGATAGATAGATAGATACATACATACATACATACATAGATAAATAGATAGATAGATAGATAGATAGATAGATAGATAGATAGATAGATAGATGGATAGATAGATGGATAGATAGATAGGAAGGACACATATACATAATTAGTTCTATAAAGAGAAGACTGCAGTATTGTGACTTAAACAGGAGACATTTCTCCTTCACCCGTCCTTTACGTCTGGCCTCAATACCCCAAGGGATAGAGTAGCCCAGAAAAAAAAAAAGTAAGAAAAATGATAGGTTCTGTTCCCTTTCTTAGCAAGGATCTCTACCTGGCCAAGGGTGAATTAGAGGCTAGGTAATGCTTTGAGCTGGATGCGAGATAGAATCCTTAAACTGAACTTTGTACACCTGAAAGGGACTGAAAAACAATGAGATCTGTCCAAGTTCTACATAATGGATGAAAAAGGGCATGTCAAGTAAGCATGTTTGAAGTCAATTATTGGAGAAAATTAAGATCTTTTAAATCTATATACAACTGAGTTTATATTGCTGAATATACTGATTAAGATAGACAGGTAGATAAATTTCTATTACATTAACAGGTCTGTAATTTGGGGTTAGAAAATATTTATCTTTTTAAAAAAACTGAACAAGGGAGATTCTATGTGTACTGAGACAGAACTGTGATCTTACATAAATATGGGCAGAATCAGAGCCCAATATTCAAAGTTGCCCTTGAGCAATTATGGGAAAAGATGCTCTTCCCTGCCTACTTTATTTGGCTTGGCTTTTAAGTTAACTATGAATAACTTTACCAGTCACAGTATCAGGGTTTCTACAAAGTTCAGAGCTGTTAACCTTGGGTTGTAAAACCAGGAAAAATAAATCTCCAGATGTCCTCTGGATGCCAAGCTTCCATGATATCATCACCAATTTCAGATCCCAGGAGACTATATTGTACAATCTGCCCTCATTTTCTGATTTTACAGCTAAACTCGGGTCTTCTCACATGGATTAATTACACCTGAAATTTTTTAAGGCCATAAAAGGAGACTATAAGAATATTTAAATTTGATATTGGGATCCCAGATTGCCTCTTGTAATTTCTTTCTCAGGTCACTATGCTGACTTGGTGAAAAGTTTTGGGCAGTATAGCAACACTTGTCATATAGGGCCCATCACCACAGTGCTATGTAAATAGAACTTGTCTTAGGTTATCAGCCACCCTTTGATAAAAGATATTAATAAAAGGAGGAGCTTTATCTTTGGCACCTGAGGCAAAAGTTTTTTAAGGGGTCAGATGGCAACAAATTATCTTCTGTAGTATTCCTTTCCATCAAAAACTCAAGTAACCTTTGCACTCCAAATGGTAGAGGTGCAGGCTGGCTGAAATTCACAAAGCCTGGAAATTTCTCCTATTCTCCTTAGCCCACTGATCTCCCTAGGACCACTATGAATGCAGATAGGGGTCTGGAACAATCCTGAAAGGGATTTAACCATGGAAAAGGATTGCTTACTCAGGCCGTGACATCCACATGAAGGACACTAGTAAGCAAAAAGAAACAAGTGCTATAATGTAGAATGGAGGTTCTCAAAATGTGTTCCTCAGACCAGTAGCATCAATATCACCTTGGAACTTACCAGAAATGCAAATTCTCATCCTCTTATCCCCAGACATAACAAATCAGAAACCCAGCCAAAGGATCCAGAAATCTCTGTTTTAAGAAGCCTCCAGGTGATTCTGACACATGCTAACATTTGAAAATCATTGATCTACGATGCCAGTTATCAGTGCAGAGAGATGAGGAGACTTTCCCTCAGATATATCCAAGAGGTCCCAGTCAGCAACCTGTGACTTAGTGTGGCAGGCTATATTTTCCAAAGATGGCTGGAACAATCTTTCTCATTCCACATGCTCTTCTTACCAGGAACAATCTCTCTCATTCCACATACTCTTCTTACCCTGATATTGACAACCCTTCCATCAGAAAAGCAGATCTATGTCCTCTACCCCTGAATCTGGACAGACTTTTTTTTTCCAGTGTTAACCAAGAGAATGTGGCAGAAATGATGCTGTGAGACTTCCATAGCTCAGTCACAAAATACAATTTAGTTTCTGTCTTCCTTGCTGAAATACTTGCTCCTGAAGCCTTCGACCACGATGTAAGAAATTGGAGTCCCTGAAGCTTCCACATTGTGAGGCAGCCCAAAGTCACCCATGAGAAGGAACCACATGAAGAGGCCCTGACACTACACAGAGAGATGCTGGTCCAGAACCCAGTTGCTCCAAACCATCATTTCACTGCAACTGCATGAGAAACCATGAGCCAGACCCAATCATATGGGCCTTTCTCAAATTCCTGACCCACAGAATCTGTGAGAGATAATAAAAACAGGTCTTGTTTTAAGCCACTATTAGTTAGTTAGTAGATAGCTGAATGTATGGTATTCTGGTGACCTAAATTTGGTTTTTTTCCCCAAATATTGTCAGTTATCCTAATGTCATATATGAAATATTCCACCTTCTATTTGTTCTTTTTAAAAGCCACACCTACTAGGTCAAATATGTTCATATTCTTGTGTCTATTTCTGGACTTTTTCCTTTAAACTACTGATCTCTCTCCCTAGTTCTGCACCTTTTCTACACTATTTTAAATATAGCTGTATACTACATTTTAATAATGAGTAGGACTCTTCTCATCCTGAATTGCCATTTCAGTAGTGTTATCTCTAGTCTGCTGGATGAATTTTAGAACAATTTTCAAGGTCTGAAGATAAATAAACAAAAAAGATTACTGATTAGCTTGTTTTACAATAGTAAGATGTCCCATGGAACTTGATATATTTCTTCATATATTTAAGCTTTCTTTCATGATATTCAATAACTCTTGAGTTTGATTCTTTCCATGCTCCTGAGGATTTCTTCATAAATTTATTCTTAAGCATTTTCTACTTCTGTTGCAAGTGCTATTAGATTGTATCATTTTTCCCCAAAAACGCATACACACATATTTTCTAATAGGCATATTGCAAAAGTATTGTCTGTTTATAACTACCTGACTAAACTCTCTATATCTTCCTAAAGCTTTTCAGTTTATTCTCTCAAATAAACTGAATAGACTTTGTTTCCAAGTAGATGATTATATCTTCTGCAAATAATTATAATATTGCTGCCTCCTTTCTAATATTTATACCTCATTTCATTATCTTCTCTTGTTTCATTGGCTAAAGATTTCAGAAAAAAGTTAATGATTTTAATACATTTAAAAAAATAAAAGTTGTTATATTTATTTAAAGCTCTCTTAGAAACAACCACACCTATACTAACTTTCATAATAAGGAAAGGCAACAAAAAAACCCACATCAAAAATATCCAGTAGCAGTCCTTGGTGGAAGAAAAGTCAGCCAACAACAACAAAAAATTAGAGACAAGTTGATGTAAAAAGATGTCACATGCATAAATAACTATAGTATAAAACTCCATGTTAAACGTCTTCAAAGAGGTTCAAGCAAAATTATATAAGAAGAAAGAAGAAATAACTTCTGACTAAGGGGGATGGGAGTAACCTTTGAGTGAGAGTTTGAAGTATGGGTAAGATTCCAACCTATGAAGACACTACAGGAACAAAGCTGGAAAGAAACAAGACACATTTGGGAAAGAATGAGTTCCTTGGGTTTTGGACAGATTGGAAAGTGATGATAGAAGAAATTGAAAAAATAACCTAAAGAATGCAGGAATGCCAGGCTAACAACACAAATAACAAGAGTAATTTACATGAAATGAGAACTGGCCATGTGCCTGCCAGGTACTGTCTCAAGTGCTTCACTTGTATTATCTCTAAAACAAGAGCTGCAAGCCTAGACTATATGTTTTAGGTCATAGCAGTCTATGTCAGTTTTTCAACAAAAAGATAACATGACCAAAACAAGCATTAAGAATAATAATTGGATAACAACTTTCAGGACTGAAGAAAAGAAAATCCACTCACCACAAAGACATTTAAGAGGCTTGTTAAAAGATGCAATCCAAGTCATATAAGGCTTTCACTCTGTAACCTCTGGCCCCATTTCATACTCTCCCCTCCACCACACATCCTAAACTGATCTAACTACCCTAAACTGGTCTGAAAGTATGCAGTACTCCTTCAAAAGCCTGTGCCTTTTCACATCCCACTTTTTATTTATGCCTGTAAGGCTTACTCCATGCTTCTTTCATTTGTCAATCTTAACCCATTCCAGGCTTGGTTAGTTATTTCTTTCTGCAAACAGTGCTTTTCCCAGATCCCAATGAGAGTAATTACCATGTTATGTTTTAATTGAATGTTTACAATTGTTCTTGCCTACAAGTTATGAGTTATTTGGGGGAAGTACCTGTGTTCTATTTATATTTACATTCCCAACATCAGGTACAACATCTCAGCAGACCTCCAGTGAACACACACATGAAATAAATACCAAGATGGACAAAAGGACCATGGACTAACAGGGAAAATCCAAAACTGAATGCTATGCACTTGTAGTGCACAAAAACACACTTTTGTGATGACCTTTAGTAATGGTCATCAACATCTTCTGTTTTTGTCTATGCAGTTTCTCTCACCTCCTTTTAGCAATAGGCCTGTCATGTGGACCCCCAGGGCTGAGCATGTGACCCAGGATGGGAAAGGGATTGGTTCAAGGGTGGGAAGGCACATAGTTCAGGCTGAGCCAATTGGAATCCTTCCCTGAAAATGACTCTCACTGCAGCTGTGGAGATTTTTTTACCTCTTGGTGATCAAGTTGAAAAAATGTGGATTACTACAATTTGGGTTTCATGAGAACAAAAACATTCTTAGTCTTATTTATTGCAAGACAGTGATGGGCACAAAATAAGCACTTAAGAATATATGTCAGATGAATGAGTCCAAAACTTCAAGCAGCTATATTCTCAGAAACAGTTTTGGCCACTGGCAAATAAGAGTCCTAATAAATTGATAGATAAATCAGTTTAGGAGTTTGATTGCATTAGTACAGTCTTTTCCAAAATGTGCCAAGAAAAAAAAAAAATACACAAAACATTTTAAAATAATTGCCATCTACTATTACTATCACATTTTAATAAGAAGAAACTAGGGAGGACTAACCTCAGAATAAAGAACCATTCTCTACATTTAATTCATTTGACTTTGTGAAAATTTTATTGTCATTGATTCTTTTATTTCTTTGCTCTCTGGCAAAATTTAGATTGGACTTGACCAATTTGTGAAACTAAGGGATAAGGGGTTAAAATGGGTTGAATAATAGCTCCCCAAAAGTTATGTCCAAGTCCTAACCCTCAGTAACTTATTTGGAGAAAGCATCTTAGTAAATATAATTAGGTTAAGGATTACAAGATAAGGTCATCCAGATTTTGGGTGGGCCCTAAATCCAATAACAAGTCTCCTTATAAGAAGAAGGGAGAGGGAGAATTGAGACACTGAGTCACAGATGGGAAGGCCATGTGAAGGCAGAGATGAATTAGAGTTATGTGTATGCAGTAAAAACCAGGGAACATCAAGGATTGCCCAAAGCCCCCAGAAGCTAGGAGAAAGGGCTGAGATGCATCCCCCTTAGAGCCTCCAGAAGAAACCAACCCTGCTGATACTTTGATTTCAAACTTCTAGGCTCTAAAATTCTGAGAGAATATATTTTTGTTGTCCTGAACCACCCAGTTAGTAGTAATTTATTACAGCAACCTTAAGAAACTAATACATGGGGTTATTCAAATTGAAGAATGAGAAAAAAAACAGCATCATGAAAATGTAAGAAATTGTAGGAATATATGGTCTGAGAAAGGCCATTGTATTTGGTATTTTATGTCAGAAGAAGAATATCAAAGTGACAATTCTCCCAACTTTGCATTTCCTTTAGCTGAGAGCTGGTAATCATACATAGCCATAAGCTACATTTTTAATCAGACTTGTTTGATGAAATTTATACCTGATCCAGAAGCCACAATGATAACATTTTCTATTATTTTCCCTTTAAAATCTCACTTATACAAAATTGTGATCATATGGAAAGTAACTTCACATTTTTTCTGTGCCTATATTATCTATAACTCACATTAGTATCTTTATTTGAACAGATGTGTAATGTTTTATTACACATCTGTTCCAATAAATGAATGACCATGAATGAAAGTAAAATTCAAGCCTATTGATATAGACTACTTATTTGCCATTGCTAGATCATGAAGTGACCTACATCATCAATCATAATCATGTATACATTTTTGTTATAGACAAAAAATTTTAAATTTAATACTAATCTTAAAGTTTGTCTTAATATGCAGAAATAAATGAGTATATGTGACTCTAGGTTTCTGTAAGATAAGTGCAATATTTTGTTCTAACATCTTCCCATCAAACATAGTAAAAAACTTGGGTGGTTGTTGTTCTGCAATCTGACATTTAAGCCTATGTTTTTAAAATTTTTATGTTTCTCATGTTTCTGATTCATTATATTGTGCAACGAAAGCATCTCTGTTTCACTTAGCATTCTGTTGAATCTGCAGAGATCTTGCTGCTTTAAATGTATATGCACTGTTCTTCCAGCATAAAAATCAGCCATTAAGTTGGAATGATGGAGCAGGGATTTCTGGGTTTTATAGAGATTAACAAGGCTTACTTCTACCTACAGAGACCATCTAACTGACAGACTGCACATTGATGACCAAATAAGAGATTGACAGATGCAAGGAACTCTCACGTGCTGTCAGATATCCATTGAATTTTTCCAAATATAGTAAATGATCTTTGGCTTTTTAAGAAGCTGTTGAGTAAGGCTACCATCCATTGATTACTAAAGGCACTAGGAACAGTCCTTAACCAAGATGTGGATGGATAGTTATTTAGGAAACCAAAGGCTAGAAAGAGAGGTATTTAGTATTAATGAGGTTATAGAGTAACTTGATTCATTACAGCTACTAGCTGAAATTGAATGGAACAATCAAAGTTCATTACTAGGCCTGATTTCCTGAGCAGGAAAGAGTAAAGATACTGTGTATATGAACCTGTTCCTATACCTTCATTTCTGCTCTTCTTTTTTTAAGATTTCTTGCCAGTAAACATTATCCACTTCCTATTTTCTCTTCTTAGGACAGCAATGTACACTGAAATTCCAAAAGAAATCATTTATGGAGTATATAGTAAAATCAGACAACTATAATTGCTCATATAAACAACTTATTTAATACAATCTTACTTAAAAAAAAAAAAACTAGCATTACCTTAAAATCCATTCAGACACAAAATGCAAAAATACCCATGAAGTTAGGTTGCTATTTACTTTTCATGACCAATACCATTAAAACGAAATTCGAAGAATTCAATTTATGTAAATTTTTTCCATTAAATTATTCATAATAGGAAATTCTCTCAACCTTTCTGAAGTGAAATGAATGCAAATTTAATTCATTAGATGACTAGACTGGTATAAAATCTTAGAGGAAATGTAAATGGTAATTGAAAATATAAAAATGATATTTGTTTGGTGACACAACAAATCAATCAGCATAAATTGTCAAGCGTACAAAACTATTACTAGAACGTGTTCTGTGTTTTCCCTTAAAAGGCATTTTTTTTCTCTTTAAGGTGCATATTTTACAGGAGAATAAATGAAGTAGAAATTGTAGGTTCAATTGATCTGAATGCCATGAACCTTGCAAGACCACCATATTCCCTCCTCTCAGAAGAGGCCCCTAATGAAGGCACTGCTGAAGACAGGAGACCTGACTTTTATCTTGGCTTCTCCTAACAATTCTGTGACTTTGGCTAAGTCACAAGACTTCTGTAAACAAATAGTATACATGTAAAATGCTAGCCCTACATCTACCAAAAGGATTTCATAAGAATAAAGTGAAATAATGGGTTGACAATGCTCAGTAAATCATAAAATACTACGGAGCTGGCATGCTTTAGTAACTACACATGAATTCCAGGCTGCTAGCCTAGAAGTCTCATAGAATTGAACACAAAATCTACCCAGTCTTTCCTTGGTTATCCTTATTCACTAGATTTCTGGAAAGTATAAAGCTCGCTAACACTCAAATGCCTTCTAAGTCTTTGTATAGTCTAATTTAATCACTATGACAAACTAGAGTGATAAATTTTCCTATCTACATCTTACAAATGAAGAAAAGGACTCACATTGACTAACTTGCCTAATGTCATTTAGTAGAATAGAAGAGATGACATGTAAACCCAGCTTTGTCTTGTTACAATACCCCAACTTTTTCCAACTAAATCTATAGCCCATCCAAATTTTTCCTTTTGGCGAAAGTGCATATTCAGAAGTAAAATATTAACATAACCACAATCCTCTTCCGTATTCAAAGGTAGCTGCTTCGTTTCCAAATTGTCAGACTCCAACCATTTCTGAGCGCCAACCACCCCCATCCCAGGAATTCAGGTGTCACTGCCGCCATCCAGTGAATTACAAGGCATTGATATGCCATGGGCACATTTCCATCTGTCCTTTTAAACTCCTGCTGAAGACACCAAACAAAGCTGCCTCATGAGCCCAAATTTATCTAAATCATAATAAGCCTTGAAAACAAAGCTGTGGGATCCCAAACTACACTATTGCCATGACAATTTGGTAAGGGTAGCTGAAGATGAGCAAACAGTTGTTGAATGAAGTGGCAGAAAAGTGTATAATGAATTAAGAACCTAAGCTGGCTCTAACCCATGTGCTTCCCATCACTGGCAAGTAGGTCATGGATAGGGTGCACTGTCAGGCCTCTGAGCCCAAGCCAAGCCATCGCATCCCCTGTGACCTGCACATATACGCCCAGATGGCCTGAAGTAACTGAAGAATCACAAAAGAAGTGAATATGCCCTGCCCCACCTTAACTGATGACATTCCACCACAAAAGAAGTGTAAATGGCCGGTCCTTGCCTTAACTGATGACATTACCTTGTGAAAGTCCTTTTCCTGGCTCATCCTGGCTCAAAAAGCTCCCCCACTGAGCACCTTGCGACCCCCACTCCTGCCTGCCAGAGAACAAACCCCCTTTGACTGTAATTTTCCTTTACCTACCCAAATCCTATAAAACGGCCCCACCCTTATCTCCCTTCGCTGACTCTCTTTTTGGACTCAGCCCACCTGCACCCAGGTGATTAAAAACTTTATTGCTCACACAAAGCCTGTTTCGTGGTCTCTTCACACGGACCACATGCAATGCACCTAACACAAAGAAGGCACTCAATAAATGATCGTTTGCATGGAATTAAAAAGTGAAAAAGACACAATTCTTTCTTTCTAATGATGTCTACAAAGCTTTCAGAGATTCAGGACTCCTTGCTGCTATAGCACAGGAGAATATATATATAAACAAAAAATATTTTGTTTCTTTGGCCAGGAGTAGGATGAAGAGAAATTATCTCAAAGGAGAAAAAGTATAATTAAATATGGATTTTAATCACAATTTAAGTTTTGTCTTATAGGGTCTGTTTTTTTCTTCAAAAACAAATCCGTGTATTTAGCACTAGGTAAACATTATGTGTCATTGATTTTGTTTGTTTGTTTTTATTGTTTAATATTGTTGTCATGGGATAATTTTGTTTCAAATATCTTGTAAAGATCCATTCAAATGTAAAACACTGAATACTTTAATACAAAGTCATTGAAACCTTATCATTAGCCTTGTTACTCAGCAATTGAGTGAGCCAGCACTTCAAAATATCTAGAAAACCAAATTCATGACCTCAGAAAAAAGCAATAATTGTTTTGCAGATTAAAATCCTTTTCCTTACTCCAGCCAGTAACTTAATTTTCAAATGTAAATGTGGTGTGCAATGTGAGTAACCTAAAGGAGGAATTACGCAACATTTTGCCTTAGTGCCAGTGAAATATCTCTAGTTGACAGTTATTAATTTCTAGTCAAATTATCCTGGAATAGGGTCAAAGAGAACTAATGGTTTTATTTTACATTCTACGAAGTGTTGCGTTTCAGCATTCAGAATGCAGTGCTCTGGAAAGAGAACTGCAGCAGAATTTAGGAGACCTTCGTGCCCTCTCTAAAAAATGTTAGCCAGATTAATAAGTATATTAACCCTTTACCATTTCCAAGGCACTTCCCACAATCTATAATGAAATTATCAAGCTATTTATTCTTGATCTTCATTGAGTAAAATGTACAAAATTTTAACTTTCCTAAAAATATAAATATCTAATTATGTAGCACTGACCAACGATTAAAAGGACTGTTGCTGTTTTCATTCACTTTGCAGCTTGTGTTTTATTTTTAATTTGGAATTTTAGCATACTAAATATGCATATGGAAGTTAAGGAGATCTAAAGTATTAGTTATATAAAGCTCATTTTCCCCCTCAGTTCCCAATTAGATGATCTATGTGATATGGGTTGTACCATAATAAAATTAATTATTCAACTGATATGTAATCCTTTTAATTGGCTCACAGAAGTTTAAACAAATTTTGTTTTATGTTATGGCATGCAAATAATGCCAAGTAATTTGCTTTTGAATTTTACAAAATTCCAGTACAAATCCAGGCATATAAGTTAGATAAGTATATGGAAAATGTTGCAGTTTGATCTTTGCAGGTGTAATATAACCAATGGCATGGTACAGTGGAAAGAGCAGATTTCAATTAAAAAGATTTAATATCCCTGTTCTAGCTCTGTTAATTTCACCTTGGGCAAGTCACTGTTTCTCTTTGAAGCTCGGTTCCCTGTCTAAAATTTGTTTGAAAATAATAATAAGTATTATAGCGACACACTTTATTGTAGCATTTAAGAGAAATATCTAGAAAAGTGCCTTTGCTAACTGTGATGCACTCAAAAGATACTTTTAACAGCTTTATTGATATATAATTCATTTGCAGTATAATTTACCCATTTAATGTGTACACTTCAATGTTTTTAGTATATTTGCAGGATTGTGCAACAACCACCACAACCTACTTTTGAACATCTTTGTGTCCCGCTAAAAGCAACCAATACCCATTAACAGTCACTCTCAATACACTCCCCCACCCTCATCTCAAGGTAACCACTAGTCTACTTGCTATCTTTATAGGTCTGTCTATTCTGGACATTTCATAGAAATGGAATCATACATATATACATAACATGTAATCTTTTGTGACTATCTTCTTTCATTTAGCTTAATGTGGAAAAGGTTTATCTATATTGTAGCATGTATCAGTATTTCATTCCTCCTATTGCCAAATAATATCCCACTGTATGGATGCACTATATTTTATTTATCTACTCATCAGGTAATAGACATTTGAATTGTTTTTACTTTTTGACTATTATGAATAACGCTGCTATGAGCATTCATGTACAAGTTCTTGTGTGGATACATGTTTTCATTTCTCAGGTATATGCCAAGGAGTGTGACTACTGGATTCTATGATAACTCTATGTTTAGCATTTTAAGGAACTGCCAAACTGTTTTTCAAAGTGGTTGTGCCATTGTACATTCACTAGCAACTTATAAGAATATCAATTTTTCCATACTTTTGCCATCACTTGTTATTGTCTATCTCTTACATTATAACCATCCTAGTGGATTTTAAGGGGTATCTCATTGTAGTTTAATTTGCATTTCCTTAGTAAATGATGATGCTTATTAATCATTTGTATAACTTCTTGGGAGAAATGTCTAACACTTTACCCATTTTAATGGGTTATTTGTTATATTGTCATTGAATTGTGATACTTATGTAATCTGGATACAAGTTCCTTATCAGATATGTGGTTTGATAACATTTTATTTCATTGTGTGGATTCTTTTAACTTCCTGATGTTATTATTCATACCACAATGTTTCACTTTGAATGAAGTTCAATTTATCTTTTTTTTTTCCTTTGGTTGCTTGTACTTCTGGTATTAAATCTAAAAAGTCAATCATAAAGACTAACTCCTAAGTCTTCTAAGAGTGTTATAGTTTTATCTTCTTACATTTGGGTTCAATTTTATTGTTTTGTCAATTTAACACGTATAAGCCAATACATTAATTCTAAGCCAATGAATACATGTTCATTAGAGAAAAATCAGAAAATATGTACATGAAAAAAAATAAAACAAAATACATTCATAATTCTATTTATTCAAAAACAACTACTTCTAGCCTGCTGGTTTATGCTTCCAAACCCTATTTTCTGTGAATGTATTCTAATTTTTGTGTATATATGTATAGGTATGCATGTATACATTTTAGTGGGATTACATAATGCACATAGTTGTGTAGACAGGTTTTTTTCTTTGATATATTGTAAACATATTTGCAGATCAGTTTTTTGGACTTGGCTTTTCTGAACTTCAAGTGTTTCAGCTGCATAAGAGCAAGTACTTGTGACAATCAAATGAAATAATGTTATAAATGCACTTTGTAAGACTTCATCTACAGGGTAAATTAGCTTTATTCTATTATTGTATTAGTCTTTTTTGTTAAAATACTTTCTCCAAATACTCTATAAAATCCCTTATCACATTAGATTATTAAACTAGTAAGTTTTTAAAATATCTATATCTCCTGAATTCTTCAAGACTAGCAGTCTATATAGCTTTGCGTCCCCGGGGCCTGTCATAATTCCTGGACCAAAATAGTGATGAATAATTGTTGGAATTAATATGTATTATCAACACCTCTGAATATTTTAGAAATGGTACACTGTTGTTCTTTGATCACTGATTAAATTATCAAAAGCTTGCTGAATATATGATTATTGTATCTTTCTGATAGACTGACTATTTTATCTTTATAAAATGTTCCTCTTTATCATTAGAAATATTTTTTGGTTTTAAAGTCTACTTTATCTAATATTAGCACAGCCACTTCAGCTCTTTCATGGTTACTTTTTGCACAGTATATATTTTTCCATCTGTTACATACAAAGTAAGTCCCTTCAACCAGAACTATGAAGCCCTTCATCCTCATGGTTTGCCTTCCCTTTGGGCAGAACCTTAGCACCACTGCAACAGAGCTGGGAATGGTGGTCTCTGGTCTTCTCTGCTTGCCACTCCTAGTGTGGAACCTCTGTAATCCAAAAGAGTTGGGCTGGCAAGCAAAGCTTTGTCCGGAAGCAGAAAAAAGACAGAGGGTTCCTGTTTGCACAGTACTCACCTGACTCATTGAGTTCCCTTTAAGTGTGAGGAAACAAATACAGGAGTCAGGTCTAGGAGGGTGGTCGAATCAATGGATAGGCATCAATTACATGGCCAGCCAGCTGCTAAGGTTCTAAAATTTCATTAGTTTTGAAATAAAGCAACACTCCTTTTGAAATTTTTTGCCTTATGAATGTTATGTTGAGATTTAGGCACTATGTGTATGAATCAGAAAGTATTATGAATGATTTAAAAATAGTTGAAAGAAAAAGGAAAAAGAAAAGAAGTTGGTGTCAACTCTCAACCATTAAGATTATCTCTACCTTTGGTTGTTTTGACTATACTATTTAGAAAACTGATAGTAATGAAAATGTTTCTTGTTCAAAGTTATGCAAATAATTCCTGTTCATACAAATGCAAATAGACTTTGTCCAAAGGAAAATATAAATTGTTGTAAGTTAAATTCTCCTTTTAACCAGTCGTAACATCTTACTGGTTCTCATTAATTAAAAAGTTAAATAAAATTTTTGACATATATTCATTTCATATTTGTAGGAGTCATAATTTTCTCTTTTTAAAAATATTATCCATTAACACAAATATTGAACATTATTTGGACAACATTATTGCTGTTATCCTGATCTTTCTGTCCTTTATTAGTTTTCTCTCCTTTCCTAACCTTTCTTTCCTTTTCACTGAGCTTAATCTGCAGGGCAAGAAATAAACAATAGCAGACACATTGAACATAGATGATGCACAAGGGAAACAATGGCGATCATCATCAGAATACTGTCATGTCAAGAAGAAGCCATGTTACTGAGAAGAATGTTACTAAAACTTTTAATGTCATATGCTAAAGGTACACACACCCAAAAGATAGATATGCTACTTTATCAGAAAGTAGATAGATAGATAGATAGATAGATAGATAGATAGATCAATCTTATAGAACTTAAAATCATTGTGGTTCTAGATATTACAAAGCTCATATTTAAAAATATTAATATTGAAACTTTAAATAGTTAAGGTTTTAAAATTAACTGGAAAAACATCCATAAACTGTTCCCCTTGCAGTTGTTATAAATTTTCAACCTCTTAAATAATGTCCTTATCATTTATTCTTTTTTAGGCCTCAACAATGTCTACGTCTTGATCCTGGAACATTTTTCTCTGATTTTCTTAACCAACAATTCAATGATAATAAACATTCAAGCAGCATGAAGGATTTAATCAACACTTGCATAAATGCATCAGAAAACACACTGTATAAGCAGAGATAACTGTAAGCAAATATGTACTGTTCTTGTAAGCCATAATTTGTTTGAAAGTAAGTTAGTTCTGGAATAGAGTATAAAGTAGTTATTTTAACCTTAAGTGAAAGCAACTGGTCTCCACCTCTTACCAAGTTGAATCTTAACAGAATAAACATGTTTACCCCTATTTTAATGTAGCAAGAATCTTTACACAGAGAAATCAGATCAGTGAAGTAAATCATCAAATACATTAGCTTATTAGATGATCCAAAATCATCTCTATCTTTTCCAACAGTTAAATTAATTTGTTTCCTTGCCTTGGCATTTATGAATGTTAATTTAATCACACAAACTTAGACTTCCTGTGAGAGAATTTGAAACCACATTGTGAACATGATTTTCACATAGGGTTTGTTCCTTTTCCCCAAATTAGAAAATAAAATTTAAAAACTGCATGCTTGTATTAGACCCTAGGCAAAATCAGCATAGGCCTGCCATCTCCCATTACATTGATTCAGGACTCTGGGGAACCATGTCACCATCTGGACGGGAGTGCATATGGTCAGAGGGAGGCCTGGGAGAGTGTCCTCAAGAAGACCCCAGCTGGCTGAGCAGCCACCTGTTACTGAGATGAGCGAGGGCAAAATAGATCATATTCATCACAATCCATCTGCTTATAATTTCCAAATATTCAGTCCTGTCATGGCAGGGTACAGCTTCAACAGGAGAGGACTGACTCAGAGAGACCAAGACCACAAGTCCAGCTAAGCAGAAGACATGTGGAAGATCCTCTATGATGAGAAATAGACAAGGAGGCCAATCTGAAAAGGTCAAGAAGGCAGGGGTAGCAGGCTCGGAGCCGCAGAAAGGCAGGGATTATCTATGGCATAGGAGCCTAGTGAAATCATAAGAATAGCATTGAAGAAGAGGGTTGGGGGTTTCAGACTCTAAGAAGAGTGGGATGTTTTAACAACCTGCTGAACACAACTGTCTCCGGATTCAGAAATGTTGATCGTGGCTTCAAGACGGGCATATACACAAGAATTAATTCACCTCCTGATTAAGGCATGGATATAGAATCTAGGATTGATAGTTTTCATGGCAAACAATAATAATTAATAACAGTCAATAAGTATATCGCCCTTCATAAGTACTTTGCATATATTTACTAATTTAATCTTCACTAAAACCCTGTGAGATAGATACTATTATTATTCCCAATTTGCAGATCAGAAAAAAATAGATGCAGAGGATTTTAGTAACTTACCCAAATCATATAAGTAGTAGAGCTAGATTTGAAACCCAGCAGTCTGTACTCCTAAGCACAACAGTTTGCCACTGCCATTCATTTTACTTTCCAAGAGGCTGCAATGACTGAGCTCATCTCTTCCTATTTTATACTCTCATTTCCCTATCTAACCTGTTTTACCCTGATTTTCCCTGTCTCTTATATCATGAATATCAGGTTGGATATTCATGTGGAACCTGAACAATAACTGCAAATACATGGAATGTGCCCTGCCCCTCCTCCTCCGAACCCATTTGTTTAAGTTGAAATGAGGAAGGACTCTTGTTTTAGGTTCAAGGGGAGATTTGACTCTTGAATGTCTGAACTGTGTAAAGGGTATGAGGGATGTGGGTGTGTGAATGTGTGTGTGAGTGTGTGTATAAAGGGCAGAGGGTGGAATATGGAAGGTAGAAATTAGCGAATAGCTGAAGGTTGAAGGTAGAAGCTAGAAAGGCTATGTTTAAGAGGAACTCCATGAGACTTAACGATTTACACAGGCCTAGTAAAGCCCAAGCGCTAAAATGTGGGACAGTTATGGAGGGGGCAGCAGAATGGTCTGAGATGCTCAGCACGGCACCAGCACCAGCGACAGTGCTGAGACACTTCCAACAGTGACTCATGAGCAGCTGACATCAGAGACAAAAGCAGATTAATGGGATTCTTCTTCAGACTTTATAAGAACCCTCCCAGAGATGCCTAGAAATAAACAGGGGAGATTTAAAATGGGAGAAGGAAAAAATTGATGTCCCACAGTTGTACAGAAAAGCGCTACAAAGCAGCAAAATGCAGGCATTAATGTTAATGTGGCTTCATTGCTTGCAGAGAATGGTGAGGCCTGCAGATATCCTAGTTTGCTGTATACAAAGGAATAGGGAAGAGTAAGTGCAATGCAACATAAACCATCCTGTTCCATCATGTCAAACACAGCTGCTGACATATTCTGCTAATAAAGGGCAACATAGACATTTTACCAGAATTGCTTATAATCTATTGGTGCCTTTTTTGAGGTTTATTTTTGTAATTATTGCATAAATATTTAATTCTAGCCATATACTAAAGTTGCTGTCCTTTTTATTAGGGAATTCTATCTCTTATTGTGCAATTTTTTTGTGCTTTTTTCTCACTAGTATTGACATATGGTACCCAACCTTGTCACTCTAGACAAGGTTCAATTCAAGTCCTAAAGAATTCAACTGTGACCTTTTAATTGTCCCACTGAGCTTGTGCTTTCTTTGTTTGCCTAAAGTCAGATTCCAAGGATCAGGTTACATGGGATAAAAAACAGAATAAGCATTTTTGATCTAAGCTAATGTGACTGGACCTTATGTAATAGCCCTGCTGTCCTCCCATTTTCTATTTTGCACATATCTTTTCTGGTCATCAGCTATAACAGGCAATCTTAGGGGGGAAACAGCCTTTTAAAATTTCTCAAAAGGATGAAGTATGAGCAGATGTCCAAGAGAAAGATAAAATAACATTGCAAGTAAAATGTAGAGATTTATTGATTCACTTTAGCAAGCTGTAATAGAAAATGTTGAGAACCTTAGTGTATAACACTAAAAGAGAAAGGTAAAAAGTCTCATTTTCATCCCATTGTGTTCAATAAATCATGTAGTTCCAGTTGCTTTCAACAAGTTTCTTTACTTTGAGTTGTCATTAGTGTCAAGTTCAATTCATCATATGCAAAATACTTTCTCCTATATATATTATTATATGTAGATAAACATATTATATATAAGTATTTACATGTTGATTTGTAGAATGTAACATTTCATGTTAAAATAAAGCTATTACACACAAAGCAATATAATTATGTATTAATTTTCTTTTTTAAAATTTTCATTTTGGAACAGTAATAGAATAATTACCCCAACAAAATAGAATTCCATGGGAAAAGGGATAATAATGAAACACAGTCCATATTTTTCTATTAAAAAAGAAGTATATGGCTGGTGTTGAAAAGATCAGCACTTTCTATACATGCTGACAGATATATAACCAACAGGACATAGATAACCTGCTAACAGGAATTATATATAAATATGCATTGAACACCTACTAGGTACTAGGCACTATGAGGTTACTACAAATAAAGTTTCTACTCTATGATTAGTGAAGAAATAGACATGTAAACAACTAACTCAAATCCAAGACAGAATTAAATAACAATCAGTCCTGCTGGGTGTGGTGGCTCACACCTATAATCCTAGCACTTTGGAAGGTCGAGGCAGGCGGATCGCCTGAGGTCAGGAGTTCAATACCAGTCTGGCCAACATGGTGAAATCCTGTCTCTACTAAAAATACAAAAAAGTACTTGAAGGCTGTAATCCCAGTAATCCCAGTAATCCCAGCTACTTGGGAGGCTGAAGGAGGAGAATCACTTGAACCCAGGAGGCGGACGTTGCAGTGAGCCCAGATAGCACCATTGCACTCCAGCCTGCATGACACAGCAAGACTCCATCTCAAAAAAAAAAAAAAAAAATCTGTCCTTTGGCATAATAAGATATCATGCCACACCTGTTAGGATGGCCACCATCAAAAAACAGAAAAATCACAGGTGCTGGTGAGGATGTGGAAAAATTGAAACCCTTGTGCAGTATTCGTGGGATTATAAAATGGCACAGCTACTGTGGAAAACAGCATGGAGTCTTCTCAAAAAATTAAAAACGGAACTACCATAAAATCCAATAATCCCGTTTCTGGGTATATACTCAAAAGCATTAAAAACAGGATCTCAAAGAGATATTTGAACATCCACGTTCATTGTAGCATTATTCAGAATGTGAAAGCAACCTCAATGTCTATCAATTGATAAACTGGTAAAGAAAATATAGTATGGACATACAATGGAATACTACTTAGCCTTGTTTAAAAAAGGAAAATTCTGTCATATGCCACAACATGAATGAACCTTGAAGATATTACGTTAAGTGAAATAAGCCAGTCACATAAAGACAAATACTGCATGTTTCTACTTACATGGGATATCTAAAGTAATCAAATTCATAGAAAAATAAGGTAGAATAATGGTTGCCAAGGGCTGGGGGAAGAGGGAAATGGAGAGTTGTTTTTCAGTGGGTATAAAGTTTGTCATGCAAAATGAAACAGTTCTAGAGATCTGCTGTACAATGATGTACATATAGTTAACAATATTATACACTTAAAAACTTTAAAAGAATAAGTTTATGTTATATGTTTTTTAGCATGATAAAACATTTTCTCAAAAAAAAAAAAAACAGTGCTTTGGTACACGAAGGGAAGGGTGCAGGGAAGAGTATTAATTCTAATTCAGAGGATTATAGCTTCAGAGCCGTGGCAGCATTTGACCTGAGTTTTCAATAGTGAGTAAAATTTTGGTGTACCAAAGGGCATGAAAAAGCATGAACAAAGACCCAAAGTGGAAGTTCATGGATTGTTTGAGGAATAAGCAGTCTGAGTGGCTGAAACATACGCTATGGAGGGATTAGCTCAGATCATTTATCAAACAAGTTCCTTGAAAGGACAATAACATCTTTTCCATTATCTGTAACAATTTACAGCTATTTTACCAGCATACAATGTTATTTTATGTCCTCATTGTAAAAATATTATACATCATAGTTTATTTAGCACCCTTCCTAGAAAGTGTGAAGAGAAATAAAGATGGCAAATCCACTTAATCTTGACCTTTTTGCCTTTAAACTTTGAACAGCTGTTTTTCATGGCCTGACATAGGACAAAGCAACTCAACCCAATAAACATAAACACTGAAAATACTAGTGAGGAAAAAAAGTATATAGGAAGCTCATTATATAGTTTCCGATATATATAAGCATACATTTTGGTATTATCAAAGTCTTTTATTCAAAGATAGTTATTGACCTTAAAGACCCAATCTTATTCCTTTCTAATTTGACAATGATACTGAGAATTTAAATAGAAAAGTGGGAAGAAATTGCAAGAAAAGTAATGAATTTAAATTTGGACATGTTTGAGATGCCTAAGGGACATCAGCTGGAAATAATTAATCAATTAAGTTAGGAGTTTTGACCTCAGGAAAGAATTTGACTAGTAGGAAAAACACAGGGAGGCATCAAACAAAAAGTGATTGCTTAATTTATGATTTTATATAATCACCCAGGGAGAATGTGTAAGAGAAAAGAGATAATTTATATAGAAAAAAATAACAGGAAGCACAGCAATGGAGGGGTGGATAGGAGAAGATTCAGGTAAATTGAGAGACTGAAGGTGAGTCAGAAGTGAGAAATACCGTGGAAGCAAAGAGATAGGGTATTAGATGAAGGAAAATGTGGACGAGAGTATCAAATGCTGCAACAGCCATGTAGGAGGAAAATAGAAACATGCTATTGAATCTACCAATTATATGGCTACTTTGCTAGAAAAGAAAGACTGAGAAGACCAGTGAGTCAATTCAAGAGTGTATGGTTCAAAAAATATAACAGACTTGATAACCTGAAACCCTCCCACAGCAAATCCTAAGATATCTGGCTGTAATTTAACATTCTTGAAATGCATTACTAAACTCAGAAAAAAATCAAGTGAAATAATCAGGTGCCAAACAAGATTCCCCTAAACTACCATGTAGTAATATGGAGATCCTCAAACCACCATATAATGACATAAGCCGATGCTATGATTGGGAAAGCGGGGATGGGTCAAAGGGAGAGCAGCTAATCTTACTAAACTATTTTAGGACCTGACACACACAAGGGAAAAAGAATGTGTCTGGCCTATGTATGTGGAGACTTGCAACCGAGATATCCTCATAAACCCAGGGTCTTAGGGTTTCATGATCACTTAGGGGTATAATAGAAAAAATTTGTCCACTAGTACAGGCAGATGGTAATTGACTTTAACTCTTCCTGAGCTCCAAGTTAGTAAACAACTAAGAAAGTTTATTAGAAATATCACACACCAAAAAATAGGCCTGTGCTGGTGTGTGGTGTTCAGAACCTCAGAGCCAATAAATATAAAATAACATAAAATAGGTTCAGACTTTTGATATTCCTAGGGCTTCTTAAATAAATGAGTGAATTGCAGTGACGCTCCCACATGCTGCACCATTAGACCATTCTCTTTTTTTTTATTTTTTATTTTTTTTGAGACAGAGTCTCGCTCTGTCGCCCAGGCTGGAGTGCAGTGGCGCGATCTCTGCTCACTGCAAGCTCCGCCTCCTGGGCTCACGCCATTCTCCTGCCTCAGCCAACCGAGTAGCTGGGACTACAGGCGCCTGCCACCACGCGCGGCTAATTTTTTGTTTTTTGATTTTTTAGTAGAGACGGGATTTCACCGTGTTCGCCAGGATGGTCTCGATCTCCTGACCTCGTGATCCGCCTGCCTTGGCCTCCCAAAGTGCTGGGATTACAGGTGTGAGCCACTACGCCCGGCCTAGACCATTCTCTGTCTCTCCTCTCTCTCTCTCTCTATCTCTCTTTCTCTTTCTCTCTCATACACACACAAAGATGAACTAGCAATAAGCATTATAAAAGACATAATAGTTCACTATGTGTAAGAGATAGCAAACTTAAAAACAGTAGGATTGGAACTATGAAAACTTGAGATTACAGAAATAAAATTTTAAAACATATAAAATATGTTTAAAATAATAAAAATATTAAATAGCTGAAACCCAAAGGAAAAATCTAAACACTGTAACAAAGCAATGGGAAACATAAAAAAAGAACCAAATGGAGTATTCAGAAATGTAATAATATAGATAAATAAACATTTTATTAGAATAAAAGATTCTAAATGATACAATTAACAAATGTCTAACCTAATGGACATACATAGACTATTTAGAAGGGAAGTGGTATATTCCGAATTGCATGTCAGGACTGCTCTGCCTGAAATGGGACTTAGAGAAGATAATGGTTTCAAGTATTGAATGGTCAAGATTCCCACAGGAAGTGGATGGCACATTCACATTAGAATAATTCCAGGAGGGTTTATATAAAAAGAAATTCATTTTAATGTTCCAAGTGGAGATAGCGAGCCAGAAAGGATAATGCAGAAATATCGAACTAGAAGAAGTGAAGCTAAAACCAATCTTAGGCCCAAAGGGACACCAGCTTCCCACAGTAGAAATAGGAAAATAGTGTTTGACTTTCTAAGCTATATTAATTACTCTTATAAAAACAAAAATTAATTTAGAAAAGTATTTTTGAGAGTGTACATACCAGGGACTATGCCAAATTCATATTATTGAAACTTCTCAACAACTCTGTAATGTGCTTTCTCCCTGAGGCATCTAAATGAATAAATACATGACCTTACTCTCCTTTCCTCAGATCTCCTGTCAAGGCTCCCCACTGGCCAGAAACAGGAAACCAGAGGACAAGGGATCTCACTGATAGACCAAAGGGGAATCCTAGCAGCAAAGAAACAAGAACCCAGGCACATCTAAGACCTACCATGGAGTTGGATGCAAATTAAAATCAAAATCTGATTTCAGTCATCTCACCAAGCAACCATCATGATTAACTGGCTTCCCATATAGGTTCTTGCCGAAAGAGACAGTACTGTTGAGGCCAGTACAAATATCTCATCCACTCTGCATTTTATATTTGCACTCAAAATTAATAAGACAGAGTTCTGGAATTACTAAAAATGGAAACTTTATGAACTGTTGATTATTTCTTAATGAAAATTTTGGTAGTAGCTTCCATAGTTTTATGAGTCTAACAACATAAATGACAGGATGTGGCTATGACATAAGCAAAGACAGAGACCAGAGGACATTTTAGCCAGTTGTCAATATTTGAAAAAGCAGAAGATGTGGCAACACCAGAGCAGGGTTACTAGCCATCAGCTGGCCTAATAACTGCTGCTTCCTTTAATGGCACATGCTTGGATCGGCATGCTTCATTTCCCTCCTGTGTTTCCCTCCCAGCATGCTTCACTCACCTCCCAGCATGCTTTACTCCCTTCCCAGCATACTTCACTGCCCTCCCAGCATGTTTTATCACCTCCCAGCATGCTTCACTCCATTAGGTTAACTACTTCACTCCTACAAGTATTTGAGGTGATCCCTGTTATGACTCTTCTCAGAGGGTCTGGAGCCTAGAGGGGTCCTCAAGTCACCTCTTGTGTAGGGGCAGTACATGAAATTGACTAGAAGCTTAACAGAGTTAGGCTAAATTAGGGTATAACCAAACTTCAAAATCTTAGCCAAAAATATTTATCTCTCCTTATTCCAATTTTCTACTTTATTTTTTTGATATCTCTCTGCCTCCCTAAAATTTTCCCAAAAAAAATCTATAATAAGTATAAGCTATTGGATTTGGATCTTACAACTCTGTTATTGGTTCCAGCTGTGGCAATTTCTTTTTATCCTTTAATTATTTTTATTTCACTGACTGAAATTCCTTAACCTGGTTTATGAAGACTCCATGATCTGATCCCTACTTCAATTGCATCTCTTTCCATTCTTCCCTAGTTCTACTCCAGGAGAGATCTCCTAGAGAGATCAAAGAGACCTCCAGGAATACTAAGCTAACTAAACTAACACAGTTAATGACATATAGTACTCCAGAATTTTACCCCTAGCAATTTTTACCTGCTGCTACCTCTATTAGGAAATCTTCCTGTATCACTGTCCTACTCCAGACCTCTTGCTAAGGCTCAGTTTAGCTCACAGCTATTCCCAAATGCTTCCCTGACCCCACACCAACAAGATTGGTTTAGGTGCCCTGCCTTTGCACACTTATAAACAAGCTGTACAATTAGCCCTATCTGTATTATATAAGCTTGTTTACTTTTTTGTTTTCTCTACTAGACAACCAGACCCTTACAAGCAGGACAAGCTGTACAAATGGCGAAGTTAATCAGTACCTTCAGCTTGATCTAGACTGCAAATTTGCAAGACTGCCTCTTCATTGTTCTACTAGGTGTTAACAATAAAACCTGAACCCTAAAAGTTTTTTCTTCATTATATCTCCTTTTAACTCCCTGCATGTCCCAATCCAGCCACAAAAGCAAACTTTGTAATTTTTATTTGTTTCCCAACAGTCAATACTCGCCACTTATGCTCAGAAAACATGTTTTCTGACTTCATAATAATATAAACCATTATCAAAAAAAATTTTTGTAGAAAACATAACTCAAGATGAGATACCAGTTTTCTCAGTCAACAGGTGTTTATTCTAACACACATCTTTTGGATGACTTACTAAATGGAGCCCTCTTATGATAGACTTCACGTTCCTTAAATAAACTGAGGTTTGAACATTATATTTACAGACTTTCCTCCTCACTATCTTTTCTATCTCACCTTCCCTCTCCTCAATACATCCACAAATCCACAAACAATCCTTACTATACTACACAAACCTGTTTGGCTTTCAATTACAAGAGATGTCAGCTTAATGGATTGCGACTGACACTGTTCTTATTCCACTGGAGGAACACAGTCAATTGGAAATAAATCTCCATCCATCAATATGCAAGAAATAAAAAGACTCTTTAGTCACTATTTATTCACTTGAGGAATATCTTAGAACTCTGTAAAACTACTCAGTTGTACCCTACATTCAGCTGGGAGACACACATACATCCCCACTAAAATATTTACACATGCATATAACCACTAAAGGGACTCTAAAGAGTTCAAGCTAATTTCACAATTGACCAAATTTAACACAAAGGAAAAGAAACCTCAAACAAGCTAGCCCTTTAGAATTTAAATTCATACTAGGATCCAAACATGAAAATAGTGTGAGCTTCCTAATCAAAATGCACTGGTATATAGAGACCAGAAGAATCTTCACATAATGCAAGAACTAAATGGCAAGCCCCTAATTCACTGAATGAATAATGAACAAAGCAACTTACTCAAATTACCTGCCTCTTGAAAGCCTATCTCAGTTGCTGGAGTGGCATACTAGTTTACTATGTCTTTATCTTCCTTCCCTTTTTATCATGTCACCTGTTTAAACCACCACAGTAGCTCTTTAATGTTTGTAGGAGTGTTAGGGCACAAATATTACTCGGCATCTACAGCTTTTCAAATTCTAGCTCCAATCTATATCATATTCTCATCCTCCATGTGGTCTTTTCTTTGACCCTTCAACATGCTACCACAGGTTGGCATCAATAGTTTCCAGGTAGTTTCACCAGCCCAACAGGCTCTATCCAGGTAGTACCTGATAACTCTCCTCCTAGTCATTGGCACTCTACCTGTCCCTCTTTCCTTTTATTTCCAAATGCACTTATAATTACAGGAAGTTAGAGCTGAGTGCAGCTTGACCTACCTCTGTTGTGTCCAGTGAATATTTAAGCTGTTTTTTTTTAAGCTCTGACATACCTCCTATGGTGATTTTAAATGAAATAATATATAGAAGCCTGTTACTCTAAGCACAGAGTCACTCCAGTCAAAGGAAAGGGATGGTGACTGAGGCAACCTCACACTCACTGCTATGGTTTGGTTCTATGTCCTCACCCAAATTTCATGTTGGATTGTAATTCCCCATGTTGGGAGAGGGACCTGGTGGGAGATGATTAGATCATAGGGATGGATTTTCCCCATGCTATTCTCATGATAGTGAGTGTGTTCTCACGAGATCTGATTTAAAAGTGTGTGGCAGTTCCTGCCTCATTCTCTCTCTGTTTCTCTCTCTCTCTCTCTCTCTCTCTCTCCTGCTTCACCATGGTAAGACGTGCCTGCTCCCCCTTCACCTTCTGCCATGATTGTAAGTTTCCTGAGGCCTCACCAGCCATGCAGAACTGTGAGTCAATTAAACCTGCTTTGTTTATAATTTGCCCAGTCTCAGGTTGTATCTTTATTGCAATGTGAAAATAGACTAATACACTCACCTTGACAGAAAGTATTTGGAAAATATCTGATCTACTGCAATCTTTCCATTTTACAAATGAGAAAATAAGAAAGGCCCACAGATATTAAGAATTTGCCCAAAGCCACATATCTAGTTCAGACAGGAAGAACTTTTTAGCCAGGTGTTCTAGCTTAGAATCCAGTGCTCCTACAAAACAAAAGTTCACTATAAAATGCTAACCTATCCATTGAACCATGAGTTAAAAAAGCAGGCCGTATATGGTGTACCTGCAAGCCTTTATTATTCAACAAATATATATTGAGTGCTTGCTGTGGGCCAAAAATTGTTCTAGATACTGAGGAATTATTACAGAAGTGAACAATATAGTATAATCCCTGTCCTCATAAAGCATATCCTTATTTTAAAATTGACAATTAAAAAAGGAACAAGCAGATAAACATATAATTTAAAATTGTATACACACAAGAGAAATGAAAATATATATCCCACCAAAACTTGTACATAATTGTTCATAAGAGTATCTTAATAGCCAAAAAAGGAAAAACAACCCAAATGTCCATCAACTGATGAATGGATTAAAAAATGTGGTATATTCATACAATACAATATTATTTATCATAAAAGGAATGAAGTATTGATACATGCTATAAGATGAATGAATCTTGAAAACATTATGATAAGTGAAAGAAGCCAGACACAAAATGTCACATATTATATGATTCTATTTATAAGAAATGTCCTAAAAAGGCAATGCCACAGAGACAGAAAGTAAATTCATGTTGGCTAGGAACCACAAGGAGGGGAAAATGAGGAAGTGACTGCTATTGAGTATGGGCATGTGCATTATATTCAATTTTAAAAATAAAAGATGTAATCAGAACTCAGAGATATGAATAAAGCATATAGGGTACGATAATAGAGAATAATAGAGGAATACCTAGAAAATATGATGGCCAGGGAAGGCCTCTTTGAGGAGGTAATTATTAATCCCATACCTAAAGTGTAAGCAGGATCCAGATACACAAAGGAGGAAATGGTGTTCCTGGAATAGGGAACAATATCAAGACCCTGAGGCAGAAGAAAGTTTGGTGTCTTCTAGGAACTCAAAGTAGAAACAAGAAAGAGAGGAACACAAGAAGTTAGAGAGGAAGGAATGAGTAGATCACCCAGAACTTATGGGCCATAGTAAACATTTCAGATTTTACCTTAAGTCCAAAAATAAACCATTTAAAAGTTTTAAGCAAAAGAGTTACATCTGCTCACTCAATTAATAAACTTAATTATCATCAGCTATGTATCAAACCCTGCTTTGTAACAAGAAGTATAGCCATAAAAAATTAGACAAATCCTTTGCTCTCATGAAGCTACCATTCTAGTGAAGGAGTCAGCTATCCAGTAAATAAATAAGTGAAGCATATTGTATGTGGATGGCAATGTGGGTGCTATAAAGCCAAGAAAGAAAGTACCATTGTGGGTTGCCATTTTAAATGGAGTAGAATGGGAAGGCTTCACTGCGATGTGATACTTGAGCAAAGACCTGAAGGAAGTGAGGAAACACGCCATGAGCATGTATAAGAAAATCTGAGAAGGAGCTACCAATGAGGTAGGAAGAAAATGGAAATTGTGATGGCACAGCAGCTTACTAAAGATAGTGTTTCAAGGAGTAAAGAATGATCATTTGTGCCAAATGGGGCTACAACTCAAGTTAAAAATGAGGCTAAATATTGACTGTTGAATTTTGCAATGTGGAGGTCACTGGAAAACTCTGATTAAAACAGCTTCAATAAAATAATAATGGTGACTGATCTGATTGGAGTGGGCTCAGGGAGAATGGAAGAATTGGAGGAAATTAGGATAAATTACTATTTAGAGGACTTTTTTGTAAAAGGGGGCAAAAAATGGGGCAATATCTGGAGGGAGATTTGGATAGATATCATCATAAATATGATACAATGGAAAGGGAAAAAGTGATGAAACTAGAGAGAGCAAGAGGGCATCTGGACTGGTACAACTTAGTAAGTAAGAGGAGATGGCATATCACACACAAGTGGAGGGTTAGCCTTGGATGAAATAATAATGAGTTTATTCAAAATAATAGGAAGAAAGGAAAAGTGGTTAAAATGGCATAGGTATAAGTAGGTGAAAAGATGTGGTGGTGGGAACCTGTGGATATAATCAAAGTGAAGTTTTAAGAGTTCATTCTATGAACAAAAAGCAGTAGCATTTCTGTACACAAATAATGTTCAAGCTGAGAGCCAAATAAAGAATACAATCCCATCTACAATAGCTACAAAAAAGTAAAAATAAAATACCTAAGAATACATCTAACAAAGGAGGTGAAAGCTCTATACAAAGGAGAACTACAAAACACTGCTGAAAGAAACCATAGATGACATAAAAAATGAAAAAACATTCTATGCTCATGGATTGGAAGATTCAATATTGTTAAAATGGCTGTATTGCCCAAAATAATCTACAAGTTCAATGCTATTCCTATCAAGCTACCAATATCATTCTTCATGGAGCTAGAAAGCTATCCTAAAATTCATATGGAACCAAAAAAGAGCCTGAATAGCCAAAGCAAGCCTAAGCAAAAAGAACAAAGTGAGAGGCATCACATTACATGACTTCAAACTATACCGTATGGCTACAATAACCAATACAACATGGTACTGGTACAGAAACAGATACATAGACCAATGAAATGGAATATAGAGCCCAAAGATAAAGCTGCACACCTACAGCCATCTGATCCTTGACAAAGTCGACAAAAATAGCAATGGGAAAAGCACTCCCTATTCAATAAATGGTGCTTGGATAGCTGGCTAGCCATATGCAGAAGAACGAAACTGGACCCATACCTTTCACCTTATATACAAAAATTAACTCAAGATTGATTAAAGATTTAAATGAAAGACCTCACACAATAAGAATCCTAGAAGAAAACCCAGGAAACACCATTCTAGACATCAGCCTTGGGAAATAATTTATAACTAGATCCTCAAAAGCAATTATGACAAAAACAAAAATTGACAAGTGGGACCTCATTAAACTAAAGAGCTTCTGCACAGCAAAAGAAACTATTGACAGAGTAAACAGACAACCTACAATTTGCAAACTGAATCTGACAAAAGTTTAATATCCAGAATCTATAAGGAACAAAAACAAGCAAAAAACAAACAACCTCATTGAAAAATGGTCAAAAGACATGAACAGACACTTCTCAAATAAGACATACAAGTGGCCAACAATATGAAAAAATGTTCCACATCACTAATCATCAGAGAAGTGCAAAGCAAAACCACAATGAGATACCACCTCTCATCAGTCAGAATGGCTACTATCAAAACGTCAAAAAACAACAGATGCTAGTGAAGCTGTGAAGAAAAGGGAAGGTTGACTCACTGCTGGTGGGAATGTAAATTATTTCAGACACTGTGGAAAGCAGTTTAGAGATTTCTTAAAGAATTTAAAACAGAACTACCCTTTGACACAGTGATGTGGTTTGGTTGTGTCCCCACCCAAATCTTATCTTAAATTGTAGTTCCCATAATCCCCGCGTGTCGTGGGATGGACTCAGTGGGATGTAATTGAATCGTGGGAGTGGTTACCTTCATGCTATTCTCATTATAGTGAGCAAGTTCTCACAGGATCTGATGGTTTTATGAGGGGCTTTTCCCCGTTTGCTTGGCATTTCTCCTTCCTGTTGCCATGTGAAGAAGGACATGTTTGCTTCCCCTTCCACCATGATTGTAAGTTTCCTGAGGCCACCCCAGCCCTGCAGAACTGTGAGCCAATTAAACTTCTTTTCTTTATAAAATACCCAGTCTCAGGTATTTCTTCATAGCAACATGAGAACAGTTTAATACACCTAGTAATGCCATTACTGGGTATGTATCCAAAAGAAAATAAATTGTTCTACCAAAAAGACACATCCACTCGTAGCAGCACTATTCACAATAGCAAAGACATAGAGTCAATCTAAACACCCATCAATGGTGGACTGTATAAAGAAAACGTGGTACATATACATTATGGAATACTATGTAGTCATAAAAAGGAATGGAATCATGTCCTTCGCAGCAATGTGGATTCAGCTGGAGGCTATTATCCTAAGTAAATTAACACAGGAACAGAAAGCCAACTACTGCATGTTGTCACTTACAAGTGGGAGCTAAACAATGGGTACTCATGGACATAAAGATGGCAACAACAGGACTACTAGCAGGGGAAAGGAGGGGGGAAAGATTTGAAAAACTATTGGGTATCATGCTCAGTACCCCAAACCTCAGCATCACCCAGGTAACAAACCTCCACATGTACCCCCCAAATCTAAAATAAAAGTCGAATTGTTTTTAAGTTCATTCTGGGTGCTCTACAGGCAATTGGGCAAGTGTAAAAACAAGGACCTCCATAAGAAGGCTGGTGCAATAGTACAAATGAGAGGTCTTGGTAATGTAGACTAAGGTAGTGACAATGACAACAAAGTTTTATTTTATGATTAAACAAAAATATATGTTATCTCATTCTGTGTATCAACATCAATAATCTTTCTAAATGGGTATTTATACATTTACTTTTAAATAAATTCAAACTCTTAAATTCTATCTCAGAGTAATTAAAGAGAAAGAAAGTTTTAATCTCCTATCACATGTATGGCTAGAAAATTACTTTCCCAAAAGTTATTATGTTCTGTTGGGTGTTTATCAAATTATTTAACCTTATTTTAACATGATATTCAGGAATCATTAAAAAATGCAAATAATAGATGACAATATTTTTAATTACTCTTATCTCCCTCATACTTCCACCAGTTTCCACAATCATAGGTATGTGACAGGAATAGTTCCTGTGTTTTTCAAGAGATGTTACATGTAAGCTACTGAAAAAACTAGCTAGCTGATGGAAGGGAAGTGTGGATCCTGTTCATGAATTTTGAAAAAATTATTATCCAAAATGGAAAATTTCCATAGAATGGAGACTGAGAAAACATATCTCTTTATTTTTTTCATTTTTTAAACTCCACCATACTGTGTATTTATTCTTTCTGTCTCTTTTAAAGTTTCAACACCAAAATTATTGGTAATCATTTTGCTCTTTTATTTGGTCACCTGATGTGAAACCATCTAACATGCACAAAACACAAGATTCAACCCCCTACTTCCCGGTGAAGTTTGAAACAAGCCTAGACTGTCTGGTAGAAAATAGGTAATTCCCAGTGAGGGAGAATGTTATGCTGTAAATAGCTGCCTCTTGTATTAATCCACAGGCTTTACTATTTGCTCCATTTTCTTTCATAAGATTAACATTTAAAAAGCCTCTTTGTCACAGACTGAAATTGAATTGTGAAATGTGCTACTGAATAAATAATTTCTTCCTGAATGCTAATTACATAGGCAATTATCCTGAAGTGTAATTTTACATAAATACAGTGTTAGGGGTTCTACAGATGCAAACAACTGCACAAATGCCTCCTCATTTGGAAAAAAAAAAACTTTTTGAGGCTGAAATGGAACATGCTGAATACATATGAAATATTAATCTGTATGTTTATGGAATTCATCAGAGGCTTTAGGGTGACTACACAGCTAAATCTTTATAAAGACAAACTTTTTTTTCTTTATATGTTTGTAACAATGGCAAAATTTTGTATACTGATACTAGCCAAAAATTTTATTTGATCCCAGCCAAAAATTTTAAATGAGACAATTTCCAATTACAAGAATCTGAAAATAAAATTTATCCAATTTTTATAAACATAATTTCTTTCAGATAAAGTATTTTATGTGCAATTATCAGCTTCTTATTTGATAATGATACGATGATGATGATGGTGATAAACTAATATTCACAAAACCACCTCACTCACTGGCTACAGCTAATAGATTTTTGGTCAAGACTTCTTACTCCAATAAAAATTACAAATTGGATCTAGACTCATTTGCTTATTGAAGATAACAACTAGCAAAATAGGTAATATCTGAGCACTTACTATATACAGCACTCAAGCATTTTACTTGTGTTGTCCCTTTTAACGTAACAGCAACTCTGTGACACTCAGATCAGGGAACAAAGGTTAGGAGATTTTTAAAAAAAAACTTAAGTTCATACCACAACAACAAAAAATTTAGATCCAGGCTTCAAATCCAGGTCTTGCTAACTCCAAAGTTCACACTATAAAGCAGATTCTGCTTTGTAATGTAGAAAGAAACACCTCAGAGTTAAGCCAGAGTTCAAACTCTGTCAGTGCTTTCAATCACAGCCTTAAATTCTCTGCCTTCTTTCGACTTTTGTAAATACTTATCCTGAGTTGGCATTGGGTCTCGGTTAGATGCAGTATCCAAATAATTTCTCTTAATTATAAGAGTAAATCAATCAAATTATTGTTGCTGTCTTAAAAGGGCAAGACAATTAATTGATTTCTATTTTAAACTTCGGCTTAAAATTGCTTCTTATTCAAAGTGTGATCTGAACACCAGAAGCATCGATATCACTTGGGACCTTGATAGAAATGCAGAAATTCAAGATCCACTCCAACCTGCTGAGTGAGTCCCCAGTTTCAGAAGCACTAATATAAATAATAGGTCCTCCAGGTTCACGCAGACCCTGAACTAATCTCCTCTAATATTACATAAAATCACTAAGAAGTTTTACAAAAGTCATTTATAAGTAGTCACTATAAACTTATAGCATTTGATAATAATGATGAGGAAAGGAGGTCAGCAGATGCACAAAGTGAGATCTGGAAAGTACAGACCTTGTGTTTTGAAATTCCCCCAAAATTTCCAATCTACAAAGCTAGCCCAGAAAAGCTTCTATTTAGAGACTTTTAGGCAGACAGCTTTTACTTATGTTTATACTACTGCTCAACTTCAGTGGGAGGATTCTGTTTTCGGAAAGTATTTCAGTCACTGATTTTAAAAAATAATGAATAGGCATAATTTTTGTATTATATTAAGGCTTGTTTACACTTTTATTCTGTAGCACATTCCATGAATCACAAAATACCATGTTGACATCTCTAAACATTTTTTATTATTGCTAGTTTACCTTTACATTTTTTTACTTAAACTCTCAAAGGACTAATATCTATACTCTGTTTCTGAGTATTACAACGACAATAAAATATTTTAAGGGTACATTATAATCAGTTACAGTTGAAACGTTCTCAAATTTCCACATGTTAAAAGACCCTGGTTAAAATTACCTTTACTCGTATGTAAACAGTTGTCTGCAGAATTTTAGGATATTAGGAAAGATTTTCCTGCCTATATCAGTCAGGGTTCAGAAAGAAAAAACAAAATCCATAGTTACTAACTGAAACAAACATGGAAATTTTTACAGGGGATTATTAAATGACAGTCTTTAGAAGGGCTGTGGAAACTGAAGGTGGTCTGAGATTCATGGAGTGATGCCCAAAGTCTCATTCTAGGAGATGCTATGAGAGCTGCTGTCCCTGATACAATAAGACAACTATAGAAAGAAGAAGCTGGCTGTAGGATCAGGAAGCCACTGCAACAGCTCCCAGTTCCAGAATCAAATCACTTCTGCCACGATCTCCACTAACCAGTATTCAATAGAGCCCACTAAGAATTCTATAAAGGTTTTTGTCTGTAAGTGACATAGTACATGGTAAGACCAGTGTGTTCCATGAATGTCCAACCACTGTCTTACTTTTTTTCAAAATAAGTTATTTATTCTGGCTCAATGTTGTATAGAATACTATAGGAGAGGTAAAAACATTCAGCAAGTCTACAGGTTATAGTGCATGCAGAAATATGGCAGCAGGGAAAGCAAAATCAAATCCAGAATGAGTAACTATTTCAGTGACAAGTTGCTGCCCTTTCTACAACACAAAGGGCTTATTTAATTGACCTACCATTAAGGTGGCTTCCAAATTTTTATATAGTATGGTGCAAATTGCACAATGAGCAGGGCAATAGCCTGATCCATCTTGGTGAAAAGAACTGTTTTGGAGTCCATGCATTACTTTCATCCCTGCCACCACGGTCACTTTGTTCATTAGCCACTGATCCTGGTGTGGCCAGGAAAGATATAATGGCATCTATAGGAAAAGTTGTTTTGTCCACAAGGTTACAGAAGATCTCTACAGAGGAGGAAATTTGGTAAATATTCACATGGATACAAACAATTTTACATTCTGAGCCCATTATTAGAAGTCTATTCACATATTTCTTCCCCATACTTACTTACCACCAATCTTCCAACCATTGTCTTTCCAAAATTCCTGAATTCCTTAGCTTCTTTCCATGAATTGGTACTGAGCCATGATTCTGACCATTCAGACAAAATGGAAAATCACTTATACCATTCAAATTTCCACCTGCTAAAAGAATCTTCTTTCCCCATTATGCTCTAGGCACACCTCCTCCCTGGGTTAAAATGCTACAGCAGGGCATCTGTGCACTGCCCAATTACCAGGCAGGGCTCCATGTAAGCCAGACTTGAACTTTTTCTTTCTCAGCTGGTTATAGAAAACGCTTCATGAGGCCACAGGTGGGTTGATGGCGAGGTAACACTGCAACAGGAGTAGGTATTTTGGAAATGTGAGTCACCTGCTTTTACAATTTATTAGTGATCATATAGATGCCATTTCTACCTGATGATGGAGTGCTGCTAGACAGACTTGATATTAATGCCTGGTGAGGCAAAAAACACTCTGGTCATTATTGGAGACTAAGTTTACGTGGTCAGACTTTCAGTGGGCCCCAGTAGCAAGCCAAGAGCAGTTTCTCAAGGGTAGACTATTTTTTACTTCCGAATACTACTTGTTTGGATGCGTGTAGTACCTATTCGGGTAGGTGGGTGGGATTCCTAAAGGTGTCTGCTGGAAGCTACATAGGACATCCCAAACCACAGACACTTCAAGCACCACTGGATCTGCAGGCTCATAGGACTAAGTGGCAGAGCTTTGCACTGAAGCTTTGACCAGCTGCAGTATCTTCTCTTACTCCCACTCTCACCCAAAACTGATAGCTTTATGGGTTCCCTCCATAAATAGGTCAGAGAAGATTCCCAAATGTGGGATATGTTGCCTCCAAAGTCCAAAGCGACCCCCTAAGCATTATGCCTCCTTCTTCGAGGCATTTGGAGGGAATATCCCTTCATATCCCAAATCACTGGTCTCTCAGAAATTTCACCAAGGTAACTAGCCCCTACATTTTTCTTTAAATTTTTCTTCCAATCTCAAGTTACACGTTTCATACCAGGACATCTAGGGTACATGTTACTGCCTGTTTAGCAGGTCCTGCTATTATAATAACACTAAAGTAGTTCTTCCTGTTTTCCTTTGGGATGGTAAAATATTCAAGAGTCTGCATATACAGAGAAGCAGGAAAGTTGGAGGGTTGGTATTACTCAAGATATGACAGTGAGAGGGTGTTTTCTCTGAATAGAAAAGCCTCTATCCATAATGTCCACCATTCTTCCCTCAGAATACCCATTTACCTGTAAGGTTTGAAATCCTACTATTTAAAATTAAAGCACATTCTTGAATATGAGTGATGTATACCCCTGAGTTGAATATAGTATTAAGCTGTTATCAATCATTTATACCTTAGTAAAAATTAGTTGATCAGATTTCTTCACTCTGTAATATTTACTGACAATCATTGCACTGAAGCAAAAAAGAATCTTTTTTATTACAGGCAATTGCAGATGTTACTTCATTTATTCATTCTTTCTTTTCCTGCCTACCAAGATTTTAGGGCAGCTAAGTGAATATGCATTTTATTATCCTCATTTCTGAGAGGACAGAAAATGAGTAGGAATAAAAATAAGTTGCTTAAATGGCAGGTCTGTCTCCAAAGGCCTTTCTCCTGACCCTCATGGGGTAAGCATGTGGATGGGGAAGATTCTTGCAGCTGGGTAGGTGGGTACCAAAGACACAAGGAAAAGGAAGAAGGCTAAACTTCAGAAGTATGCAACTGTTAATATGCAAGGCAAAGGTTAGCCATAGGCATGCCTTCCCCTTCCCTAAGTCTTTTCCAAAATGCTTAATTTATTCTGATTTTTTTTAAAGTCTTTCACATATACAAAAAAAATCAGATTTCTTGGCATTTCTTGAAAGACTGGATGATGTGGCAACACTAGGCCCACATTTTCACACAGCAACATCAGCAGGAGCTAAGGCTGCCTCTGTAGATGAGTTCACAAGCTAATTCACCAGAGGGCCCAATAGTCTGCTGAAACCCGGCCACTCTCTCCCATTAATGTAGCCTACAGTGCTCTTGAAGGCATTTAAATTTACTGTTACTATCCCAACTCTACTTGGTACAGGGTTGGGAGCATACAGAAAAGTAGGCAATAAATAATTTGGTCTGAAACAGATCTTGATAGCTGAGATACAAAAACACTATTTTCTGATTTGATGCCAATTGTTTTAGAGATACATTTTCACAATGACTTTACCTATTTAAAAGAACTGAAAATCAGTCTAGTTTTATTCCAAATGCCAATGCAATTGAAAGAGTTTACTCACAACTATAATGAATTTCATCTTGCTCAAGACTTGGAACTACTGATTACTAAATCTCTATCCCCCAAATCATAATAACTTTAATTTGCTCCATCTCCACATTTGTTTTAGCAATTCCTCTGACTCATATGTCAACAATATATGTCATTGCTGTGTAAATTCTCTATATGGTTGCTTTGTTGAAGAGCAATATCAGGAATTATCACTGTTAATTAAGTTTATCAAACATTAACACATATGTCCTTTTGGCCAGAGTTTTCATCTGTTTGCTATGGTTATATTATCCCATATTTTCATATTAATTATTTCATATTACTTCCTTGGTTTAATGTGTATAATAGACCCCTAAACTGTTTGTTTAAACTTAAAGACAACCTGTTAATATATAATCTTAGCTACATTTAATCTGGTAATGCAGTTCACAACAGTCAGAGGCAGTACATATCTTTCAATTACAATGTAAATCCCAGTTCTGCCTCTCAGAAGTTGGATGTGATGTTTAATCTTATGTGTCAACTTGACTGAGCTAAAAGATGCCCAGATAGCTGGTAAAACATTATTTTGGGGTGTTTCTGTGAGGGTGTTTCCAGAAATGATGAACATTTGCATCAGTATACTGACTAGAGAAGATAGGTAGAGGAAGGGCAAATTTACATCTCTCACCCCATTTGAGCTAGGACATCAGTGTTCCTGATTCTTGGGCCTTCAGACTTGAACTGGGACTGATACATCATGCCCCATCCTCCTCCTCCTCCTCCTCCTCCTCCTCCACCACCACCACCACCACCACCACCACCACGACCACAACCACCACCACCACCACCACCACCCCCCCCACCTCGGGCCTCAGTCAGACTGAATTACACCATTAGCTTTCTTGGTACTCCAGCTTGCAAATGGCAAATAGAGACTTCGTGTGTGTGTGTGTGTGTGTGTGTGTGTGTGTGTGTGTGTGTGTGTGTGTGTTGTGTTTCTCTGAAGAACCCTAGTACACTACATGACCTTAACCAAGTTATTTCAGCTTGCTGAGCTTTTATTATCCGTAAAATAAGGTAACAATATCTACTTCATAACATAATCACAAGGATCAAATGAAATAAGAAGGAAAACACTTCATGAACCATTATGAATTAATCCTATATGACTTTTTAAAGTTGCCTCAATATCAAGTACTTCTTGTACTGAATGTCAAAATTCTGTTTCTAGGCTAGTGTACTACTTAGTACATGATGATATAAATATTGGTAAGAGTACAGTTCCATCTAAACTGTGAGCTTCTGAACACCTGGTCATATGCCTCATCCTTCTCTCTTCCACCATGATAGTTTCTATCATCTAATTGATAAGATAAGCTGGCAACACAGACTCTTTATCCTACTTCCTATCAGCCAGGAGACTTAAAAATCTAATGGAATCTAATTGGAACTAGTGCTACCCCCCACGCCAATAAAGGAGAGCCACTTACAACTGCAGTAGTAGGACTTAAAAAAAAAAAGATCCATGTCTAATAAAAAGTCAAAATCTTTTTAGTAAAATAATTCTATTTGCTGATGTTGTTTGGCAATGGGCAATGTCAAATTACATTAATAGAAGAAATACTTTACTACTTTCAGATAATACTGTGTTGTCTATGAAAAAAAAAAAAATCCTTACCTTGCTTCTTCAGTGAAATTGTGTCCGGAATTGGTGGGTTCTTGGTCTCACTGACTTCAAGAATGAAGCCGCGGACCCTCGCGGTGAGTGTTATACAGCTCTTAAGGTGGCGCGTCTGGAGTCTGCCCCTTCTGATGTTCAGATGTGTTTGGAGTTTCTTCCTTCTGGTGGGTTCGTGGTCTCGCTGGCTCAGGAGTGAAGCTGCAGACCTTTGCGGTGAGTGTTACAGCTCTTAAGGCAGCGCGTCTGGAGTTGTTCGTTCCTCCTGGTGGCCTCGTGGTCTCGCTGGGCTCAGGAGTGAAGCTGCAGACCTTCGCTGTGAGTGTTACAGCTCTTAAGGCAGCGCGTCTGGAGTTGTGCGTTCCTCCCGGTGGGCTCGTGGTCTCGCTGGGCTCAGGAGTGAAGCTGCAGATCTTCGCGGCAAGTGTTACAGTTCATAAAAGCAGCATGGACCCAAAGAGTGAGCACTAGCAAGATTTATTGCAAAGAGCGAAAGAACAAAGCTTCCACAATGTGGAAGGGGACCCCAACTGGTTGTCAATGCTGGCTCCGGCAGCCTACTTTTATTCTCTTATCTGGCCCCACCCACATCCTGCTGATTGGTAGAGCTGAGTGGCCTGTTTTGTCAGGCTGATTGGTGCTTTTACAATCCCTGAGCTAGATACAAAGGTTCTCCACGTCCCCATCAGATTAGTTAGATACAGAGTTTCCACACACAGGTTCTCCAAGGCCCCACCAGAGCAGCTAGATACAGAGTGGTGCATTCACAAACCTTGAGCTAAACACAGGGTGCTGATTGGTGTATTTACAAACCTTGAGCTAGATACAGAGTGCCGAGTGGTGTATTTACAATCCCTGAGCTAGACATAAAGGTTCTCCAAGGCCCTACCAGAGCAGCTAGATACAGAGTGTCCATTGGTGCACTCACAATGTGCTGATTGGTGTATTTACAATCCCTGAGCTAGACATAAAGGTTCTCCAAGGCCCCACCAGAGCAGCTAGATACAGTGTAGATTGGTGCACTCACAAACCTTGAGCTAAACACAGGGTGCTGATTGGTGTATTTACAATCCCTGAGCTAGACGTAAAGACTCTCCACGTCCCCACCAGACTCAGGAGCCCAGCTGGCTTCACCTAGTGGATCCCGCACAGGGGCTGCAGGTGGAGCTGCCTGCCAGTCCTGCGCCGTGCGCTCGCATTCCTCAGCCCTTGGGTGGTGGATGGGACTGGGCGCCGTGGAGCAGGGGGTGGTGCTCGTCGGGGAGGCTAGGGCGGCACAGGAGCCCATGGAGTGGGTGGGAGGTTCAGGCATGGCGGGCTGCAGGTCCCCAGCCCTGCCCCGCGGGAAGCCAGCTAAGGCCCGGCGAGAAATCGAGCACAGCCCCGGTGGGCCGGCACTGCTGGGGGACCCAGTACACCCTCCGGAGCCACTGGCCCGGGTGCTAAGTCCCTCATTGCCCGGGGCCAGCAGGGCTGGCCGGCTGCTCCGAGTGCGAGTGCGGGCCCGCCAAGCCCACGCCCACCCAGAACTCCAGCTGGCCCGCAAGCGCCGCAGGCAGCCCCGGTTCCCGCTCAAGCCTCTCCCTCCAGACCTCCCTGCAAGCTGAGGGAGTGGGCTCCAGCCTTGGCCAGCCCAGAAAGGGGCTCCCACAGTGCAGTGGGGGGGCTGAAGGGCTCTTCAGATGCCGCCAAAGTGGGAGCCCAGGCAGGGGAGGTGCCAAGAGCAAGCGAGGGCTCTGAGGACTGCCAGCACGCTGTCACCTCTCAAAATTACTGAGGAAATCAACCATAACAACTGCTGGAGGGCAGACTGAACCAGATTTGGAAAATCTTAGTTTTCCCTAAAGAATGGGGCAAAAAGCCATACCCTTCACCTCCAAATCAGATACAGTCAAGGCCTGAAGCTCTTAAGACACAAGAAGAAATTGCAGGTAAGGGGAATAGAAATTGCATTCTATGAGGGAGGAGGAGTAGGGAAAAAAACAGGGAACAGGAAAGAAGACAGAAAAATATCAAGGAAAGAGAAGTCATTCAGGGGAGAGAGGATTTTCTGAAGACAATTAAAGGAAGGTTCTTCCTTTCCATACTATAAGAGAGAAAGGAAGAGAGTTAAAACCTTCATCTCTTCTTCTTGATTAGTTCTGGTATTTTGAGACCCTCAAGATGCCCCATTAAAAAACATCAGAAACCTCTGCAGTAATTAAACATGTGCTTGGGCTGGGGAAGAAGCGGGGAGGGGAGGGTCAGATACAGAGTAGTAACTTCTCTGTAATCATCTTGCTCAGGCTTTGGAAGAGAAGGAACTGGAAGGATGTTACCTCCCCACCAATGGATTGCAAGAAAAAGTTATGCCTGTACATCCAGCAAAGGAGAAATACAGGTGACAGCAGAAAAGAAGACCCCAGGCACCGAAGACCCTCTGCCCCTAAGGGTAGCAAGAAATAACCTTTGGTGTTCTATATTTCATGAATAAATAAAAATAAAAAAAACTAAAAATTCATGATGAACGAGTGGCCTGCACAACCTTTGATTTTCCCTACTTGCCTACATTTGTGTTGTACTGCTTCTAGCTATTTTATGTACCCTTGGGTGGTTCCTAAACATTTGTATTTTACAGATTAGTAAAAATTCAAGAACAAATTTGAAGGCTGATATACACTTTCCACTGGTTTTTATTTTTGAGTGAGTAGATTTTAAAAGTACCATCTACTATAACATCACTTTACAAAGAAATATATATTTTATCAGCCCAAATCCCATAATATCAGGATTTTAAAATTGAAGACATTTAACTGTTGAAAAAATCCTTTATACTGTCATTATTTCTCTCATTTTGCACAGACAAACTGTGCAAAGTTTTAACTGGGGTTTGGGCACCACTTCTGTATGCTTTAGTCTAGACTAGACTCTAAACTAAAACTTAGACTAGACTCCAAACTCTGCATGAAGAAGCCCTCATCTCTCAGATACACAAAGCCATTAACACTATTATGGTGCTTAATGAAGTTGATGCATATGAAATTACCAATATTCGACTATTTTGACCTATTAAAAAAATGAAAATGTCATATGGCTAAACCTAATATCATGATCTTTTTGTCTGTACTTGACCATTTTATAATGTCAAATAAACGTTAGAACTATGACAAATGTATTCACAGCAATTCTGGGGAATTATATCTTATCTAAAGAAAGCGTTTAATAATTCTCCACACATGAACTAGTGTTCGAGAGAAGATTTTACTAAGTGCTCCTTATCACATTCTGTGCAATTTCTGGGAGTCTATATTGGGGCAAAGGGGGCTATTAAAATGCTAAACCTTTTAAATATCAAATCTTTAATTACATTCATTACAACAAATCAGCCTTTCACCAAATTAACTCAAGATTATCGGGTACATAACACAGTGTTGAGCACATAATAAAGTTTTAGTAAAGGTTAGTTAGTGTCTTAGGGATGGCTTGGTTAAAGAGGAGAGTTTTCATCCAAGTTAAGTAATAGAAGTTTGTTATAAAGAGTTGGGGGACTCTCACAGAACCCATACTAAGAAGAAGGGGCAAGCCTCATGGGGATAGAAATGTCAGGTAGCTACTTTTTCCTCATTTTCTGCCAACTGTTTGATATCTCCCCTCCTCTGCCCATATTATTTCTCTTTACAGACTCCTAATTCCTATTCCCCCATAACATTGTCTTACAACACTGGTTCCAAGACAATATGGAGAAAATAAGCCTCTCGCCAGCCCCAGACTCCTGCTTTGGCCCATAAAACTGGACATTTTCCCTGTTTCAAGAGTATTGGGAAGGAAGTGTATCTTCTCTTTACCCTCTTCCTACACTTCCTTCCCTGAACAGGATCTATCTGACTGGTGAGGCTGAGAAGAGCATCTTTGGACATATAGAATCCAGGCTTTTGTTGATTCTCTTTCTTTTGGGGCCTGCCCTTCCTATACACCTTGGGTATTCTTTCTCCACCAGGGTGGTATGATCGCTGTACAGAATGCTTATCCTGGCAGGTCTTGCTTTCAGCAGGAGTGGATAAGGGGAGGTCTGTGAAATTATATCTGTTCTTTCTGCTACTAGAAGAAAACTTCAACTACGGAGGTAAGAGGTAAGAAGCCAGCCAATTTTGGTCCTGAGTCCAGGTGATTTTCCAACTCACATTTACTAATAGCAAAGCTGATATTTTGGTACCACTGAAGTCCTGAATCTTTTTCTTTAGCATAATTACTTGATTCATTCATTCCCTAACAACAGTCTGGGGCCTCCAGCTGTCCAATTCAGTCTCTACAGCTCTTAATTCAAACAAAGGAAAGTGAGATAATTTAACTGGTTCAGTTTAAATCAACTGTCCATCCCTGTTGTGGACAGTTACTCCAGTTATAGCCAAAAGGGTAAGGTTACTCGAGCCTAGGTCTACTTCTTCAGGAGAAAATGTGGGGAAAATTCCAAAGAAGGTAAGTTGGGTAGACACACTGAAAGTCAAAGGACTATTTTGATTTCTAACATTTCAGGGCTCTAAAATACCATTCACCTGTAAAGCCATTGTTATTTAATAAGTTCCACATAATGCATTCAGTGACAGGATGGCTCTCAATTTGACAGATATAAAACATTTCTACCCAAACTCCACATTTAAAAGATGTTGAATATTTTCTACTTTTATTGCAATGTGTTTCTGAAAATCATGTCATAAAGTGGGTTGCCATTGAGCAAACTATAAAAACAACATAATAAGTGGGAGGTGTAGGCCATTGAGTATATTACAGCCATGGACAGCACATAAAAGTTCAAAATTGATCAACTTCCTTGTCCTTATCTCCAAAATTGAAGTTATCCACCCAATAGCAAGCAGAGCAGCTAGAAATTTCTAGGCTTCTCCCCACAGAGACCTGCCCTGATGAAGACTTCAAAGACAGAATGATTGTAGAAACTAGTCTCCAGTCAATGAAAATCATGCTTCAAATCTTATAAACAGGTATAATATTCTCCAGTATACTATTAGCATATACATATTTAATTCTAAATCATGCTACATATAACTAGGTTTATAGCTTCAAATTAACCTTAAACTAATATGCAGATGATAATACACATTAAATATTTAATTTAAATTATTGTTGCTTGCAACTTTGTAATTTATAAAGAGAAAAGTGAGCTGGTTTGGTTAGCCCAGGGCCCTTTGAAGAAGCTGCACAAGTGAGTTGAAACTGGGGTTCTTTTTCTCTTAACAAATTCCAATAAAGCTAGTAGAGAAATTCAAAATCATTCTACTGACCTTGGAGACGAACTCGAAGCATTAAGCCCGGAGGTCAGTAGAGGATCGTTGTTGATGCTAATGATAGGGCTTCTCTGCGTAGAAAGCATTTTAAAAGTCAAGGATGACCCAACATTTCTTTCCTTCACCCCTTCCTACTACTGAAATTTATTTACAAGGCCCTGCACACCAGACACTTCTTAATTGTGTACTGAATTGAATCCAAAACTTCAAATGTAGCTCTATATAACAAAACCAATGGTGCCGCCAGGAAAAATAAGTCATCCATTCTCAGTCTTCTTCTACCTTCTTATTTGTTACCAAGAATCAGGTACCTTCATACAGGACTGCCATCAACAATTACCAGGTCATTAGCACTCTGGATTATTTAGGGTAGGCTAACTGCCATAATAAAGAGACCTAAATAAAGTTTTACCATAGTTGTATACATTTTGCTCACATAACAGGAAGCATAACAGTCAGTAGGTCAGCTCTTCTACAGTCAGGGTCATTGAAGAATCAGACTCCTTCCATTCGTGGCTCTGCCAGGTACATGGGCCCTTATGTTCATTAGCATCCAGCTATCAGAAGGAAAAAGACAGTGGAGAAGTCTGCATGGAAGTTTGCATGGGGTAGCCTGAAAAGTAATAAGTATTGCTTCTACTCCATTCATTGGCTAGAACTCAATCTCCTGGCCAAACTCAACTGCATGGACAGCTAGAAAAACATAGTCTAGCTTCAGATCCAGGACAAAGAAACTGATTTTAATGGAGAGCTAAGGTCTCTGCTATATCCCTTTTCAAAAGGAACATTAAAATAAGAATAATAAACTCAAGGGTCTAAAATGACCAGGTGAGAAACATATAAGAAAAAGGGCCTGGTGGAACTGTCCAAAACCAGAGAACATTCCATGCCTAAAGGGGCTGGCACTATTTGAATCCAGCAAATTGTTGTCCTGAAAAATAGGGACATAGTATTACCAAATCTAATTTTTCAAGAGAAGGCAGGAATCTAGTGTTTTTAATGTTAATTCTTATTATAATATTAAGATGTTGACAATTATTTAATGTTTTAAAAATAATATGCAAGTCACACAAATATTTCTGCATGTCCTATTTGACTCAAAGTATCTAAATTGTAAACTGCTTTAAAATATATAACAAAGCTCTAAAAACATAACTTTTTTTTAAAAAAAAGCACAACTTAGTACCCTAATACATATTTGCATAGGCTGAGATAATAAAAGAACAAATGAACTTCAGAATGGAGGCACAAGTATTAATTAAGCTGCATCAATTAATACTACCTAATTAATAGTAATTATTAGTAGTAATATCAATTACTAATTATTAATAGTAATTATTTATTAGATAGTATTAATTAGCTACCATGTGCTACATGGATAGCACAACTTATTATAAAGTAACAAAGGGCAGGGACTGCCTGTACCTTTATGAAACCTGTAAATAACTAGAAGAATCACAAGTAGACGCAATCATATTTCTTAGTTTATTAACTGTTTGGAAATTAGGCTATGATTTGTTTGTTCATTTAACAAATGCTTACTGTATATACAAGATACTGTGTTAGCTGCTGTAGAGAAAATCATTCTGATTAAACTCTTCCCTTGAGGAATTTATATTTAATAAGGAAATAATATAAGAATATAACTAGCTATAATATGAGGTCAAAAGCAAAAAAGCCATACATGAGTTATGACTGTAGAGTTCAGACAAGGAAGAGAAGGTATCTCACTGAGAGGATCAGAAATGGCTTCATGAAGCAAGTGGTATTTGAAGGTGAGATTGGGATATGTAAAAATGGGGAAGTAGGGATGCCATGAAAAGCAAAAAGCATTAGCAAAGATATGTAACTTGGAAAAGTAAAGGTATGCATTAGGGTAGTGGGTGACTGGAACATGAGGTACCTGGAGGCGACAGATACATTCTATAAGAGTTTAATTTTTTAGTCCTTCGGTAATTTGTAAAATCCTTTAAGCTCATCAGTGGAGATATTTCTCTCCCAACGGGACAAATCTATAACAAAACTCATGCCAATAGCTTATAGAAAGCAGGTAAAATGTTACTGATGTAAATTCTACTGACTTCAAAATACTGTTATTTGCAGTTGTTACTCGTTTCTGTGTCTTATTAAATCCAGTATTATTCTGATTTACTCACGATATATCCTGCAACAACTCCAAGTGTTGTCATGAACTTCTTGTACCAGAAATCTGCAATAAGTCAGGTCCTGAGCTTTCTGGTTACAAGCTGCTTTTATTACATCAGTCACCTCCTGTTCATATTTCCAATAGGTGACATTTGCATGATTCCATCTGTCCAATTTATCTCTTCTCAAGGCCATATTGTTTCAGTGACATTTGGGAACCTTCCAAATTGTTCTTCTATATATCTTCAGTTTGTAGAAATTACCTCTGCAGTCAATTTCTCATGAGAAGTAATCTCAGAGATATTTCTTTTGTTTATTTTAAAGAAATATTTTGATATTTCTTGCCCTGGATTTATCATTTTATTTGCTTTCACAGTTCAGATAAATCTGTTCTCAAGTCAATTTAACAGTGCTAGCCAAATACATTATAATATCTTGTACTGGAGTTAGAAATATTCTTCTTATGTATTAGAAGTAGTAGAAAGTGATAACTTTTAAACTGATGCCTAAGTGGGATAGATTCTGCAGGTATGTAAGATTTCTCATTAGCCATTCTGGAACTACTCCACTCAGCATGATAACTACCTCTATTTTGATGTTCTTCCATTTCCATCCCTCATCAAATCTTGTCAAACACACAGGCTACAGTAATTTTGTTCCTCTCTGTTATTGAGATATTTCTAGTTAGTAAAACAGTTATCAGCTTAGGCTCCTTTATATTATTAGTTTAGGAAAATAAAATGTTTGGTCTATTGCGCAAGATTTTTAAAAATCAGTTCTTAAGAGTTCTAAACCACTTTATGTATTGTAATTATTTCTTTTGGAATTTTAAATTTTAGTCTTGACATCATCGATGCTGTTACCATTATTGTGTTTATTATTGTTTTCATAAATATTGCAATTTATAATAGCAGTAAACTGTCTGATGACTCAATATCTGGACCTGATTATCCTAATACACAGTACAATATTCTATGTACACCACCATGCTACCAAACTAAGTCAAAGTAAATACTCTCCCTATGTGTTTTTCAACTTAGAAGCATAGATTATTTAATCAAAAAAGCTTCTGAATCATCTGTGAGGCAGATGTATCAAAGCAAAGGCACAAACATTTCAATTAATGGTGCTCAATATCATAGAAACTGCTCATTTTCTGGATTGTATGTTAAAAGTGATCTTTAAAAAACTATTTAACACTTTTTAAATGCATATTTGGCAATTCTAGCCCCAGACTTATCTCTCAAAAATATCTTTATTTTATGTATCTTGGAGATTACTTTGACAAAATACAATATGGCATAAGGTTAGAAAACAGTTCCAAGTACTCACTTGTATTTTTTTATTTTTCCTTTCATAGGCGGCCCAATCATTACTTTCATAAGTAATATTGCTGGTTAATACAAATATATAGGCTCTGATGATAGTTTATAATTTATTATTTTACACATTTGGGGGATAATTCCATAGCTATCTGAAGTTTCAGGCAGCCGTGCAGTTTAAAATATTTATTTTTTAAAGGGAAAATAGTTTTATTGTCTAAGCCCACACCTTACTGCAACATTCTATAAACCTAGTTTTGTAGAAAAAAAAATTGGCTTTTAGTCTTTATTCTACATATGTAGAATTTATAATATATATTTACTCAGATGATAACATTTACAGAAATTTTACAATTTTGTTCTTACTGGTCATAGTTTGCTAGACTGTAGTTTGGATTGTTTGGGTTGTTTTTATTGTAGCTATTTGATCTTCAAAATGCCTGTGTTCAGTATACATTCCTAGATAAATGCCACTGAATGGCCTGAATTGATTAGACTTCTGGTTTCAGGTTTTAAGGTATGATGTATATTTTCCAAACTGTATTTATAATATCAAGTCTCAAAAGTACCTTATTCTCATATTTTTTAAGCTAACATACAATATTATAGAATTGTTGCAAGTGGAGCCTTCCACGTTTGGTACTTTTGAAAGAACTATAAATATAAGCAATCCAATTTAGCAATGATAAATGCTGCCTTCCAAATTCCAATCATATCTGTCCTTAGTTATAGCAATTTCCAATAAAAAAAAAAACCTTTGGTGATGCTCCGACACATATCATTTTTAAGACCTAGAAATAAAGACCTGGACTAAGGCCAGTCACTTGAATTGTGGGGATAGCCATTCCAAGAATATCACCGCTCACTTGTCGTCATGATCTATTGGGCTGCCCTAGCTTCCTTACCAATGGGAAAAAAAAACACAAAAAAAACTTTTTATTTTCCATTATTTATCTTGTTCTTCTTGCATGCTTTCTGCCTCTCTGTAAGGTATTATTCAACTTGTTCTTCTAAATAAATCCACAGCAACCTTGGTATCAAAATATCAAAATGACTATTTTAGTTTTTGTACTATCTTTAAATGAGAAGTAACTCTTTTAAAAGTCAAGTTTTCTAAGTTCCTTTATTATCTCTGAAATAAATGAAATGTGACTGAAAATTTTCAAACAAGTTAATAACCACTTTTCATTGAACAACTCAATTGCTATATTTTTCCCATTCTAAGATAACATCGGCTACACGTGCACCATAGATTTAATAACAGTTTCTTAGAAAAAAATCATACCACTACATTAATGCACTCAATTAGTTTTAACTAACTGAGATAGCATGTATTTACTCATGCAAATACCTGTCACCCCCTTTTTGAGTATTTTAGTGTGGAAAGCACAAAGATGAGCCACCCAGAAACACTCATTGCCCACACTCACAGCCTCTAGCTGTCACCTCCTTTAGGGTCTGCATCAGCTGCAGAGTCAGCTAGCCTGAGCTCATTCCCTTCCCAAGCCATCCATATCTAGACTAAGTAGGGTGAGAATGTAAGCAGTGGCACGATCTTGGCTCGCTGCAACCTCCACCTCCCCGGCTCAAGCGATCCTCTTACCTAGGCTTCCTGAGTAGCTGGGACTACAGGTGTGCACCACCACACCCAGCTAATTTGGGGGAGTTTGGCCTCTTTTTTTTGGTAGAGTTAGGGTTTCACCATATTGCTCAAGCTGGTCTCAAACTCCTAGGCTCAAGAGATCCTCCTGTCTCAGCCTCCCAAAGTGCTGGGATTGTAAGCGTGAGCCACCATACCTGGCCGGACCAGAAATTTTAGCCAGACACAGGGTTCTCTGACTGACAAGGTGGTCCATGGCCTTGTTAGGCCTGAATCACAGTTCTCTCTCAGACCAATTCTGCCTCTTCTTTCCTTTCATAGGCATAAACCCCTATAAAACAACTGATATGCTAAACTCCATCTCAGCGTCTGCTTCCAGAGATCCCAGCCTGCAATATATGATCAGAGTTGATCCTTCTTCACAATCAGACTCTAAAATTCTTCTGAATTGCTCTTGCCATTTGAGGTTATTCATAGAATCATAGTAGCATGCTTATCTTCATAATTCACACTCATGATCTTGTTTACCTTAGTAATATTTGCATTGGCAGTATACTTTTAATGGGCTGTACTTGTAAGTATAGGTGGTCCATTAGGTAAAGAGTTACAATTATTTTCATAACAAGTAACAAAAGCCCAACTTTAAGCAAAAAGGTGACCTCATTGACTCTGAGAACTAAGAAGCTGTAACACTTTGGATGTGGGAAAGGCAAGGATGCAGCCGGGACTCAGGAGTAGAGCTCTGCTTCATTTTTTCCTCTGCTGACCAGCTTGTTCCACATGAAAGGGAGTCTTTCCAGTGATATCTACCTGCTACCACTGATTGCTGATCTTATAGATTCAGTCAAACAAAGAGATTTACTTGATGCTGTCAAATCCTATGTTCAAAAAATCCCATTGAGGCCCTTTTGCAAACACCACGGTAGTAATTTGTTCTGGTAAGGAAGAGAAATCCTGCAGTGTAGGACAGCATGGCTGGACCTTGAGGATATCATGCTAAATGAAAAAAGTCAGTCACAGAAGAACGAACAGTGCATGATTCCACTTAGATGAGGTATCTAAAATAGTTAAACTCATAGAAGCAAAGAATTGAATGGTAGTTGCCAACAACTGCAGCCAGGCAAAAAAGGGGAATTGCTAATCACTGAGCATAAAGTTTCAACTATTCAACATGAATACATTCTAGAGGACTGCTGTACAATACTGTGCCTATAGTGAACAAGACTATATGATACACTTAAAAAATCTATGAAAAGAGTAGATCTCAGGTTGTGTTCTTACCACAATAAAATAAAATTTTTTGAAAAGCATAATACATACTAAAACTTTAAAAAAGTATTGTGTGAAAGTAGAATTAAAACAAGATATTTACTTTGACAATATAGCTCCCTGTAGATTATTTAGTAATAGCAAAAGGAAATACAGTAATATTACAGTGGAGAAATGAGGTGGACACCACCTTAATGAAATGACAAAGTTAATACCATCAATAATAAGGCAAACTAACATCCCATGTACTCTGATATGAAGCACTAAGAAGGACATAGGATCATTTATGTAGTATTCTTACAGAAAAAGTACATTACTTAAATCTAATCATAAAGAAACATCATACAAATTCCAACTAAAAGACGTTCTTCAAAATAATTGCTCTGTGCTATCCAAACATATCATCCATGAAGGAAAAAAAATAGGCTAAGGAAGAGTTCCAGATGAAAAGAAATGAAAGAGATGTGACAGCTAATTGTAGAGCATAAATCTGGATTGGAACATGAATTGGGAAGAAAAAAATGATATAAGAAACATATTTAGGACAATTGGAAAATTTTGAATATGGATTAGACAATAAAATTGTGTTAATGTTATATTTCCTATTTTTATCATTTTACTTTGTAGATTAGTTTCTGCTGTGCAAATAAACCACCTTAAAACTTAATAGTTTAAAGCCACAAACATTAATTCTTTCTCATGGTTCTATGAATTGGCTAGTAATTATATTCTGGGTGGGTTCAGCTGAAATTATATAGTCTAGATGACCTCACTCACACTAACGACACTTGGCTTGATGTTGACAAAGAGGATGGCTAAATGTCTCTCTTTCCCTAGCAGCCTAGCACAGGCTTGTTCACGTGGTGGCAGACACATGCCCAGTATCAAGGGAGAGCAAGTCCCAAAGCACAAGCATTTTTCAAGTTTCTGCTTACATCAACGTTTAATATTCTGTGTCCAAGGCAAGTCACATGGCTAAGTTCAGATTCAGGGGTTGAAGAAATAGACCGGTTCTCTTGATAGGAAGAGCATCAAAATTATATTATAAAACGACATGCATACAGGTATGGGAAGAATATTTAGCCATTTTGCAATGCATCATACTATAATTAAGAATGTCCTTGTTCTTAGAAAATTCACACTGAAGTATTTGAGGATAAAGGTATGTAATGTCTGCAACTTAAAAACAGTTCAGGAAAAATTAATGTGTGTGTGTGTGTGCGCGCGCAGAGCAAGAGAGAGGAAGAAAATGTAGCAAAATGATAACAACTGCTCAATCTACATGAAGGATACAAAGGGCATATGGGACTTTTTTGTCCCATTCTTGTAACTCTTTAAGTTTACAATTATTTCATAATAAAATCCTTTTTTAAGTCCCATTGAAGTATTGGTTCCCTTTAATTTGCACCCAGCATTATGGGGTCACTATAGTAACACAAGAGCACGTGCAGGAACAATGCGGGTGGGATAAGTAGGTCCTTCAAGGAAGGTGCCAGGGAGGCTATTTCAAGAGTGTCCTATGTTCTGGGTTTTGGGTACTTTCCTATTTATTTAAACCTCATATTTGCATCTTTCTCCTGTTATGAATTATGTATCATGGGAAATTGTGCCATTTCTCTCTAATGTTAAGTGAAACCTTTAGTCAGATAGCTGGTGAGCACCTGAATAGTAATCCTTTCCTACCCACTATCAGGTCACAGCAACCTCTCCTAGCTTTGTGTCACTTTAAGGTCTATCCACAAAGTCACTTCATTTCCACTTTATTTTATTCTGCCCAATTGTGACACCAGATAATGATTGCAAATGGCATTGGGGTCCCCAAACACATATTTCTAATTATTAATATCTGAAGGCATTATTTTATTATTTGGGCATTATAGAAACAATGAAAGATGTAGTTAAAATAATTTATTTTGGAATGAATTATTTATAGCTCACTAGTCAGTAGCTCAAACATAAATACAAGAATAAAAATTTTAAGTGCAATACACTAATAAAAAATAGTATTCTGATATACCTTCAATGTGTTTCTGAAGTTGACTACTAATCTCATCTCACTAGGGCAGCAGAGCCTTTGGGGGAATTTGTTGTTACACATAAAAGAGATCTGCAACCACATATGTTTGAAAAATGTTGAGTAAAACCAACATTAAACAGGTTCTGGTAATAAGCTAATTTATACTATGCATCTTTAAGAAGCAGCTATCCTCTGCAGCTTCTAGTAAGCATATTTAACATTGGAACCAACTTCTCATGAAGCATCTTTTAATCCTGGAATTATTAGGACACTGATGAAAACTTTAGTTATGAGTGGCCATGGTATTATCTTAGGTTTGGTTCTACTCCATGTCACTTTCATCTCCTGTACTTGAAACCTTCTTTGATATTTCCCACCCCTACTCATATTGGTGCCCATCCCTAATGACTACCAGTCAGTGTTATATTGGTCATACCCTTGAATCTAAACTGGAATACATTAATTACATAACTCTGTCCTACAGAGTCAGTATAGTGCTGTACTGTAGGCACTATATAGGCACTGCTTGTACAGGCACTATACACGCAGACCTGAGTTAAACTTGGTTGCCTCATATTTAAGATGAGAAAATTAAAAAATGCTTACTTGATAGACTTGCTTGGACATTTAATAAGATAATACTTGTGAAAGGCTTAGAATTGTATCTGGCATGCAGTAATTCTTGAATCAAGGTTAGCTGTCATGCAGTGTTCTCAATCTTTATGTCTGCAATCATATATAGGTCATACATTAACCAACTTCAGTTGAACCATATATTCCGTCCCGTTTGTTACTTAATAGATGAATGAAGAGCCAAGACATTGGCCATGTAGCTTTCTATGTATAAGAGATATATTTTCCTCCATTTGTGCCTTTCTTGGAAGATACTGATATGCCCTTACCCTGTCCAGTGGTAGAGATATGGCAGGTCCTTCTCAAAAACTTACTCCATTAAATGTCTAGAACCCTCTTGTGCCTTAAGAGTGTTATTAGGTTTTGGGAGAAAGCATTCTCACAGGGCAATTGAACAGTGGGCATGTGAAGACTGAAGGCTCATGTAGTATATTATCCCACTCATTTGATGACTCTGAATGTGGGCAACTTAAAGTCTCACAAATTCAACAGCTGGAAGATTGGTGAGCAAGTCTTCAGGCATGGACAGGTGACAATATGACTCATATAATGATAGGACAATCAGTAGGAGAGCTCTTGGGAAACATAGGCCATAGCATTCTTAGTCACTAAGACACCCTCTTCTGGGAGCTATCCCAAAGGCAGTGGCCTTGTGTTGGCTCCCTGGTCCCACTCAGTTCTGCAGCATGAGAAAAGTATCCCTCTCATTGGTCCTTCTCTCAGACCACTCACTTGACAACTTCTAGGCAGCAACACAAATATAGGCGCACCCTCAGAAATGGACCAGGACATCTGGGCACAATCTTTCATACCAGGCTATACTCCTCTCCTTTTGTCCACCAATCTCCCCTAACCAGAGATTCTGCCGGGAATCTGCTAGCCCAAATGGAGACTCAATGTAAATTAGAAAAAGTCCCCTTTCTCATTATATTTTCCTGTCATCTATCAGATAATCATCCAAATAATTTTTTAAGCCTAAGCTACATTAGAAAGAGCCCTTCTCACATTTATACAAAGCAGAGCTAGAACACTTGTAAGTGAGAGCCTGGGTCTTTTCCCCTTTTCCTTAAGCTTTGGACTAACAAAACTAATCCTATTTTTTTTTTCTTGGACATTTAGATAAGGCCTCTTTTTCTAAAGATTCCTTCCCTAAATCCCTAATTTTCCTTTTGAGGAGAATCTATCTTTGGTGGTGTGAAGGTGAGAAAGGAAACTGAGAGAAGAGCACAAGTTAATTTATATCAAGGAATTCTGATAATAGGCACACTGAAAAGGGCCAGTAACCCTTGCTAAAACACGTGGCCACTGTTATGATAGAAGAGAACTTATTGGTCTCCTTAGCTTTAGGAAGAAATAATAACTTCTTGGTTGAGTATTATCTGGAGGATTCTTTCCCATTACCCAGAAGCTCTCGAATAGATTAGCTTCCTGGATATCTATTATAACACCCTGTCTCCAACTATCAAAAGTTGCTTTCCTACATTCTCTGAGTTTTCCTATTTACTATTTGTGCAGAGAGAGAAAGGCAGAGAGAGAGAGAAATTGTGGAGATGGGCACACATATATAATGCTTTACCTTTTTAAGCATTCACATATAAATTGTCTACTACATGCACACAAGATTAGTTATTCTTAAAGTGGTCTCCAAACCAGCAGCATCTAAAAACTTGTTACAAGAGCAAACTCTTCATCCACCCCAGACCTTTTGAGTCGGAATAGGTCCATCCTAGATCTATGGAGCCAGAAACATCAAAGGTAGAGCCAAGCAATCCTTGCTTGAACAACCACTCCAGGTGGTCCTGATGCTCACTAAAGTTTGAGAACCACTGCTCCAGAAAGTAGACCAATGAGGGCCATATCAGTATTAAAAAGATTCTTTACACCACCAACAAGTGAGTTTAATGATAGTCAGCTGTTCCCACATCAGCTGACCATGGGGATAGATTTAGTCTTCTGTTAAATCTTCTCTAACCTCATTGCGTGTCCTTGTTGGCTTTTTAGGCCTCAAGACTTACTTTCCAATTTTCACATTAAGTCAAGAGCATTGTTCTGAAAACCAGTTTCCAGAACCATGTATCTATTCTCTACTACTCCTGTCACTGAAATTGGACCCTGGCTCTCATATTCTTGTTATCTACTTCAGAAGTCATCACTTTAAGAAATCCAGCCCTTGACAAGTCTCATTATTGTAATCCACCCTTAAATGGGCTATACTAGCCTTAACACCTTATGCCAGCTTGAACTGGACTTGAGCCTGCCATTCTACCAAGACGATACGTTCTGGTCGACTAGCTCCTGCTTCCAGCCCATACCGTTCCTATTTATTGTCACTTCTCTCCATTCTACCTTGTGGAAGTTGCCAAGTTGCCACATAGCCTAAATCTGGTATAACATTGTGATTCTCTGGCTTTTTCTTTTGTCCTAAGATCTAACCCCAAAGTCCGAGTGATTCCACTAAAGCTGTGATTATCAGTCACCAATATCATGGACTGAACTGTGTCCCCTAAAATTCATATATTGAAGTTCTAACCCCAAGAATGACTATATTTGGAGACAGAGCCTTGAAGGATGTAATTAAGGTTTAATGGGGTCATAAGGGTGGGGCCCTTTTCTGAGGGTATTTGTATCTTTCTTTTATTATTATTATTGTTATTATTATTATTATTTATAGAGACAGGGTGTCACCATGTTGCCCAAATTGGTCTTGCACTCCTAGGCTTAAGCAATCCTCCCACCTCGGCCTTCCAAAGTGCTGGGATTACAGGTGTGAGCCATTGCACCCAACTAGTATTTGCACCTTTATAAGAAGAGGAAGAGACACAGAGATCTCTTTCTCTCCACACTGGTACAGAGAAAAATCCATCTACCAGCCAGGAAGAAAGGCTTCAACAGAAATCAACTCTGACAGCACCTTGATCTGAGACGTCTAGCCTCCAGATATGTAAGAAAATAAATTCCTGTTGTTTAAGCCACTTAGGATATGGCATTTTGTTTGGCAGTCTAGGCAGACTAACAATAATTGTGAATCAGAAACATCTGGGGGAGGTTATTAAAAATGCATACCCCCTAAGAGAATGATTTATCAGAGTTGTGACCCTTGCATTAATACTTTTTAGCAGCTTCCCATATTATTCTGTGTATAGCCAAGGTTGAGAACCACTGAAACTTCCACTGGTTTGTAGAATTGAACACTTGGTCTTCTTTAAAAAAAAAAAAAAAGTCTGTTTCATTGACATAACTTGAGAACTGGAGAGGATATCTTTAGACAAATCTGTTCTCCTATTTCAAGGAATCCCCAAATAGATGAGGAAGGCATGGTTATATAGCTTGCCAGCTTGAGCAACAGAATGTAAACTGAGCTTGAAATTAAAATAACTTTAAAATAAATCAGTTCAGGATTTTTTATGTAATAACTTATTAAAGGTCTCTTTTCTGTTGAAAATAAATTTCTAAGAAAGAATCAAAATTAGTAAAGAAACTCAGTCCTGTAAATAAGACAGAATCCTAACCTTAGAGCAGAACATTTGAGAAACATTGTCTACATTTGGACTAAATTAAAACAAGTTGCCAATAATCTACATTGTTTACCTTCTCAAAAGAATAGCATGACATGATTGGAAGTGGAAATTTATCAGAAAAAAAAAATTTCACTAATATCTCCAGTTGGAGGGAAGAGATGTTGGACAAGTTCAATTGCAGAAAATAAAATCCATCCTAGCTAGTCAAAACATAACAGGATCCAATGTAGAAATCTATGTACTTAACAAAATTGCTGGAAGGTCAAGAGGAGCAGGATTGAATCTGAACAGCTCCCAAATTCACACTGTCTCTGCTATGATCAAGAAAGCTTCTTCTGCAAGAACCTACTGAATCAGGGAGTCACATTCTAAATGAGAAAGCTTTAGCAGATGACCCCAGAACCATACAACCTCTATCCTCCTCTGTTTATATAAGCAAAATGGATGTCTCACATCAATGAGAACTACCCATGTGAATCAATTAATAATAAATCTATCACATACAAAAAGATGCTTCTGATTGGTATCATCTAAATTATGTCCAGAACTCCAGCTGCAAGAGAGCCTGAAAATGTGGTTTTTAGTTTGTCAACCTTTCATTCTAGAAAATTTGGAATATTTCTTTTAAAAAGCTGCTTTCAGTTTACCCAGTATCTACATAAAACCTATTTTCTCATACTAGTATTTCCAAACAACAAAACAATCTCCAAAATATGCATATCTGCTTTAGTCCTTCAGTTATAGACTGGCAGTTATAGGAGACATTCTAGAATGTCTAGCATTATATGGCATACAATGACTAGTGTTGTAGCCATACTCCTCTCTCTGTTTCTCCCTTCATAATTAGAATCAATTATGCCCACCAATATAGGATTAGCCTCTTTTTCCTAAGAAAGCCAGTTGATAGTTTCGTCTTCCAGTTAAATTTTTGTACCCCTGGAGGACACAGTCTTCTCTTAGATACTTAGGCCTCTGAACAAGCAGAGCCTAAAATTTCAGCAGCAAGAAACAAAATGCTATAAGTAGGACATTTGATATAATTCTGAGAGATGTGATTCCCATGTCTCCCATTACATTTTCAGGCTCCATGTATTCCAATTATGGGAGAAATATGTTTATCAATGGTTTAAAGTAAATAACACATCTGGTAAGAAAGCACCTTAATCCCACAAGGTGTGTTACTTACATGCTGTCATAAATGAGTCTTCAGTAGGCCATTCCATCATTGTATACAGCAACTGCTTCTGGATTGGTATTACCAGTGAAGTCCCTTAAGCATCAACCTGATGCTTTATTTCTTTTGCTATAAAAATTCATTATTTGGTCAGAAAAAGTATTGTGTGGGATACTGCAAATAATCTGTTTAGTAGTCCTCAGATGTTAGCTTTGTAAGCAGAGAAGGTAAATCCAAATCTAGATTGAATAATCCATTTCCAGGGCAGAAAATTACTGTTCTTTCCATGATGTAAAGGGCTTCATATAATCTGTCTACCACCAGACTACCAAGGCATGATTCTCTGTTCCTTGCAGTTTGGGCAGTTAGTTGATATATAACCATATCAACTACGGTGGAAGAAAGTTCATGTACTTAAACTCATAGAGAAATCCACCTGTGCTACCATAGTCACTTTGCTGATTAGCCTATTGAGCCAACACTGGAGTGGCTGGAGAAAGAGTTTCTCTCTCACCTAACAAGTGACCATCATGTTCACTTGATTTTAAGAACCATGTCTCAGAGTGAGACCTTTTGGAGAGTAATCATAAAGGACACATGCCTCAGCCCCTGGGCGCATCCAAAGGGTCATCTACCTATTTCTTCCTCAAACATTTGTCGTCAGTCCTCAAATCTTTCCAACCCTTAGCCATTAGCTATTGCCCATGATTGAGACACACACACACACACACACACACACACACACACACACACACACACGTTCATCTACCTTTTATTCTTCCATTCTAGGCAAAATAGACTATTAGATTTATCACTGTATGTTCTGCCCATTGGGAGGATTTCCTTCTCCTCTGTCTTTCATTAACCCCCCTGAGCAAAGCTGTAATGCTTCAGCAGCCAGTCTACTTCCAGCTCATGCCCCATGTCTTGAGAAATCATCTTTATACAGGATTTGGTATTTTTCTTTCTCAGGTCATATGAAACTTCCCATCCAGTCCTAGGTGTGGGTTAAAGGAAGAATGGAGCGCATCAGAGGAACCTGCACAAGCCTTAGAAATATGTAATACTTTCACTTAAGGATAGAGCACTGCTGATTATGCCATAATTTATGACTTGGTGAATCAGACACTGCCAAATTCATGAGAAATAGCTCATATAGATATCTAGTCCCTGCTAGAGTCTCATAGCACACCAAGAGCTGTTCTTCAAAAGGAGGATTGTTAGTTACCACAGAGAGTATGGCATGTGTGAATTCTGCTGGTAATTGTATATGTGTGTGCATAGATATATGTATGTGTATATATATGTGTGTATATATGTGTATATATGTGTATATGTGTGTGTGTGTATATATATATATCTCCACATGTACATACACAGTCATGTGCCACATAACATCATTTCTGTCAAAAATGAACCACATATATGGCAGTGGTCCCATAAGATTATAATAGTGTATTTTTACTATACTTTTTCTATGTTTAGATATCTTTAGATACACAAATACCCTGGCATTACAATTGCTTACAGTACTCAGTACAGTATTGCACTGTACGGGTTTGTAGCCTAGGAACAATAGGCTATGGCATACAGCCTAGGTGTGCAGTGGGCTATAACCATCTAGGTTTGTATAAGGTAAGTGCACTCTATGATGTTCACTCAGCAACAAAATTTCTTAACAATGCATTTCTCGGCCGGGGGCGGTGGCTCACACCTGTAATCCCAGCACTTTGGGAGGCCATGGCGGGCAGATCATGAGGTCAGGAGATCAAGAGCATCCTGGCTAAAACGGTGAAACCCCGTCCCTACTAAAAATACAAAAAAATTAGCCAGGCGTGGTGGCGGGCGCCTGTAGTCCCAGCTATTCAGGAGGCTGAGGCAGGAGAATGGTGTGAACCCAGGAGGCGCAGCTTGCAGTGAGCCAAGATCGTGCCCCTGACCCTCCAGCCTGGGCGATAGAGCAGGACTCCATCTCAAAAAAAAAAAATGCATTTCTCAGAATATGTGTGACTTATTATATATTAAGTTAAGCAAAGTGTGACTATGTATGTTTATATATACATACATGTATATATAAATTCTATACTCAGGAATTGGAAAAATAATCATAGTATATACACATAAATCTACCAAAAAATACTCTGAGGTAGACATTGGCTAAAACTGCATTTCTCACTAGAACCTATAAGCCTCCCACCCTGACAAGTAGACCGTAGTGGCAGTTTGGTCCCCAGGGATTAGTGTTATTTCAGAACCAATATCAATAATTGCTGAAAGATCTGAGTATTTTCTTTTACTCCATACATTATTAACTTATTATCAGCAATGGGAGGAAGATTTATGGTATGTGCTTGTGAGATGTTGGTAGTCTATCTTCAAGGATCATTGGTGAACTGAAAACTTGAATTTGATGGTATACTAGAATGAATAAAGATTCCAGAAGTCCCTTGGTGTAACAAAGAAGGAATAATCCAAAGTCACAGAGAGAGCAATGATTCCCTTTCATTCAAGAGGCTCATCCACGTGCTGACAGATCTGGGAATTGGTGGGGAGGCCATGATTATCATAGTATCTCATTTCAGGTGTTTGTTCACAGACCTTGAGTTTTTAGTGAGCTGCCCATCTATTTTATTCCTAGGGCCCCAAGATCAATAAACCACACTAAACATTTATGTCAGCTGTAGGGTAAATGCACCTGATAGCAATAATGTAAGCATACCCTTAGAATGACCCTGTATGGCAGGTGCCCCTGAATGTGTGTTCCAAGCTTGGGAATCTGGAAGTGGCCGGCCCAGAGATTTGTTCCTAGTCTGTGAAAAACATCTGTGCCCCTAGCTCATCCCTTGCAACACAGGACTTATAGGGGATTGAGGCCCCGAGTTTTGGGTTAAGTGAGGGTTGCCAGGTGGAGGTCAGTGAGGAAAGTGTTGTTAAGTGAAAATGCTATACAAACTACATGCTGTTTGCAAGCAGTGGCAGTTTTCCTGCCCATTCTGTCATCACTGGGTCGTGTGGTTATCTTGTCCAGCTCGCTGCTGCTGGACTGTATGTAAGGTAGATAACTTGTCTAGCCAGCCCACTGCCACTGGACTGTATGTAAGGTGGACATCTTGTCCAGCCTGCCACCACAGGATCATTTCTGTAAGTAAGGTAGTTCTGTTCAGCTCACCACCACTGGACTCTCTCCCCTGCATGTAAGACCCTATTAAAACCCCATGTCTCATTTTCTGGCTCTGGGTCTTCTCTTCAGCCTCTTGAACCTGGCGCCTTCCCTATTGAGGTTAATAAGAGTTCAGCACAACACCATCAAACCACCCTTACCCTTCCGCCTATCGAGGTAACTCTGCTCAGGCTTTCTGATGTGGTTGTCGCCAGAGTTGGCCTTCATTACATAAAATTCTACATCCCCATTAAAGTTGTGATACCATTTGAATGGCAACATGTCTGTCTTTATTTCCAGCCTATAGAAAACAGCCATGTCAAAAAAACTACCCTCATCAATGCATTTATCGATGAATTTTGTTTGTTGTTGTTGTTTTGTTGTTTGTTTGTTTTTGAGACAGAGTTTCGCTCCTGTTACCCAGGATGGAGTGCAGTGGCGGATCTCTGCTCACTGCAACCTCCACCTCTGGGGTTCAAGTGATTCTCCTGCCTCAGCCTCCCAGCTAGCTGGGACTACAGGTATGTGCCACCACACCCAGCTAATTTTGTATTTTTACCAGAGACAGGGTTTCACCATGTTGGCCAGACTGGTCTCAAACTCCTGACCTCAGGTTATTCACCCACCTCGGCCTCCCAAAGTGCTGGGATTACAGGGATGAGCCACCGCGCTCTGCCGATTTGAGTACCCTTGAGAGACATAGTTGTAGGACAATTAAACTAATTACATGTTAAACCCATTCTAAGATGTGCATTTCTTCTTTTTTAAGATATTCAAAAATGTACGGCATCTCAATTTCATTTAGCTTAAGCCGCCATTAAGTCTAGGATTCATCAGTTATCAGAACAAACATAAATACTCTCAGATGCTCAGCCTACACACTGAATCCCACATCTCTGGTAATTGTGTCCATATCATGAATTTAGACCTATCAAAGCCTTGGTCTAGCAACATCAAAATCCATTTCCCACACATAATCTCTAGTTTTCTGCTGTTATAAATATCTTCACAAAAATTATTTAACTCATTTCATTTAAAAACCTTTTCCCCTAAGGCTTGACATTGCAATTGTTGCCTGAGATATGCAGGAATCTGACTGGCTATGGATGTGGTAACAATAAAGTTAGTAAAGATACTGCAAGAAGAGAACCGTCATCCCTTTGAGAGGAACCTGCCTCAGACAAGCTGTTATAGGTATTCAAGGGAGGCAAAATCAACATCATCAGGCAAAGGAGGAGCTGCTTTAGCTGGCAAGAGAGACTTGGTAAGGTTCAAGGGTATGCATATATATTCAAATCCTCCTAAATGAAACCCTTTCAATGATGAGGTCTATCTCATTCTAAGGCAATGTTTTCAATTTTTTGAAAAACAAATGGTAAAACTGTAAATTCAACCTACCTTATAATTCAACAAACTGCAGCATCAGGCTTTCCATCTGATTTCCATCTAAATTAGTCTTGAGGCTACAAAAGATGACAGCTTTTTCGAGAACAGTTGTAGAAATTCCTTGATTCTCAGACAGTTCCTAGAGCTAAGAATTTAAAATATTGAGCCTATCACTTTCTTTTCGTTCACAAACACAATTTGAAAAAAAAAAAAAAAACCCACCCCAAAGTCCTTTTCTTCCTCATGCCCCCTATGATTGTCTATCACAATAGTCATTCTCTCTTCCAAATCCTTGCCTTCAATAGCATTTCAGATAACCAGAAGTGATAATTTAAGTAATTGCTCACTCAGTGCCATAATAGCCTGTACATACAATAAAGTCCTATTTTTTATGTTCTATTGCCTGCAACCACTTCTGCTAATTACTTTATCACTCAGAGCTCCATTGCACACAACAGAATCCACTTTAACTAGTTTAAGCAGAAAGAGTTTTATGTAGGGAATTCAGTGCTTACATAAATTTGAACAGCTGGAGGAACTGGCTCCAGGCTAATCTCCCAGGACCAACTTCTAGCCCTCAGAAACATTCTGCCACTACTGTGAATGAAAAAGCAACCATCGCCAATGCAGGAAGATAATAAATCAGGAGTCTATTTGCACTATTGTTGACTGCAAAACCATACTAATTCTGATGTGACTGAAACACTGCCACCACTGTGACAGGAAGAATCTGGATCAGGAAACCATCTCCACATTAGGAGGTCACCACTTAATATGCTGGCTCCAGAACCATGTCACCTCTGCAGCAACCTGTGCCCCAATATTCTACCTCTGTCTGCTACATTCATTCTTCTAATCAAAGTCTCATGCAATAATATTTCTAAAGAGTCTAGGAATATTGTTTCTGCTTTCCATTCTCAGCATACAAGAAGAGAGCTAGGATGAATGTTAGCCAAAATATCTTGTAGTACGTTTTTCACTGAGTATCAGAAACACTTCAAAAATCACAGTGATAGGCCTAACAAAGCCAGTATGTCTTGCCATACTTTCTCTCTGTCCTATGGATGATGGGAAGACAGGAAAATTTACTAAGTGCCATAGTAAATGATCCACATCCACAAACCATACTATTGGGCAAACTGTATAGACATGCCTACAAAACCCATGGAGCTTTTAAAACAGATTTATTAAGGCATAATATGCAATATACTATCTATATTTAAAGTGTACAATGGGATGAGTGTTCATACCCATGAAAACACATATCAAGATCAAATAAACATATCTGTTAGCCTTAAAAGTTTTCCTGGATTCCTTTGTAATCTGCCATATGGAAGTTCTTTTTCATTTGACATCACACCAAATTAGCCAACTCATTCTTAAATATGAAAATAAACCAATCCTCTCCCTATACTTCTGCCAACAAAGCAGGATATGTTCTCAAATCTAAAAAGCTTATCTTCCAGTACAAAAGTTCCAGTTCACCCACAGATAACCCAGAAAAAAAAGCTCTTATGTTGGAGCATGGCTCTAGTTCTCATCTTACCTACCACAAAAATCAATATGACCAGACACATAATATAAACCACTGGCTCTTAAATGTATATAGCAGCATACTGATGTATAGCTAACATCACAGATATTCTTCCAAATTTGGATCAATGCAGCAATTTTTTTTTTTTTTTTTTTGAGACGGAGTCTCGCTCTGTCGCCAGGCTGGAGTGCAGTGGCGAGATCTCAGTTCACTGCAACTTCCACCTCCCGAGTTCAAGCGATTCTCCTGCCTCAGCCTCCGAAGTAGCTGGGACTACAGGCGAGTGCCACCACGCCCAGCTAACTTTTATATTTTTAGTAGAGACAGGGTTTCACCATGTTGGCCAGGATCGTCTCTATCGCTTGACCTCGTGATCTGCCAGCCTTGGCCTCCCAAAGTGCTGGGATTACAGGTATGAGCCACTGCAGCTGGCTGGCAAAATTTTTTATTTGCTACAACTAATAACACATACTATTAGTGGCAAAGTCTATCAGCAACTAAGAGGAGCAGGTCATACAATACAGGTACAATTTGCAGCCAGTGAGAAAGGAGATAGAGGTGAGAGGAACCAAAAATAATTTTGTATTTACTAAAACAAACCAAAAAATCTCTGGTATTGAATATATGAAAAGGAATTCCAGGACAGTGAAGAGTTCTACTCAAACACCCATATAACACTAAATACTGCCAACAAAACAGTAATAAATTTGAAGTACATTGCCCCAGAATTCTAGTATTTAGAACTGTGGCATGAACATAAATAAAATGGGAACTACGTGGGGTAGAGGGAGCAGGGAAACATATCTAAACCATTGGTTCTCAGACTTCATACTCCTAAGAATCATGAGGAAGTTTTTTCTTTTGTTTTGTTTTGTTTCATTTTGTTTTGTTTGTTTGTTTAGATGGAGTTTCGCTCTGTCACCAGGCTGGAGTGCAGTGGCGCAGTCTCGGCTCACTGTAACCTCCGCCTCCCAGGTTCAAGCGATTTTCCTGCCTCAGCCTCCCAAGTAGCTGGGATTACAGGTGCCCTCCACCAAGCCCAGCTAATTTTTTTGTATTTTTAGTAGAGATGTTGTTTTGCTATGTTTGGCAGGCTAGTGTTGAAAACTGCTGACCTCAGGTGATCCACGCGCCTTGGCCTCCCGAAGTGTTGGGATTTCAGATATGAGCCACCATGCCCGCGAGGAGGTCCTTTTAAAATATAGATTGATGGGTTTTATCCCAGAGATTCTGATTCAAGATACCTGGGATGGGGGCTTAAGAATTTGCACTTCTAGTAAGTGCCAGAAGATGCTTATGCTGCTGTTTTGTGGACCACACTTTGAGAGCCACTGACTGACTGTGAGTTCCAACTTAGTTCCTAGCAGTATTCAAATGGAAATCAGAGAGGCAGGGAGGGCAGCCAAGAAACCTTGGCCAACAATGTGGGTATGTAACATAACCAGAGAGAATTTTTTTGAAATAAATAGCAGAGGAAAAAGAAGAAAGGAACATCAAACCTATGCAAAAATTCTGTCCCCTTAAAGAAGAAAAAATAAAAGCATGGCATGAATGGTAGAAGAAGAGCACAATTAGGAGGAGATAATTTCACAATTAGATTTAGAAAATAACTAACCTCTAAAGCACTTAGAAAGATCAAGAATGCTATAAAATGAGAGATGTAAGATGAGACAATATGACAACAAAATGAGATGAAAAGAGAACTGGGAAAGGAAAGGAAAGAAATTAGAAAAAAGAAACACCATGGGAGAACTTAACATAGTATTTGCAGCAGTGAAAAGCAGAGAAAAGACAGAGAAAACAAAATCCATAATGTAGAGGACAGACTTGAGTAAATCATACAGAAATAAAGACAGGATGAGAAAAAAATTAAATTGAAAAAGATGGATATGAAGTGAAAGCAAGAGAGGTCCAATGTATAGCTAGTTGGCATGCCTGAAGAAAACAAAATAATTGGAAGATATAACATTTTCAAACGTATTTTGCCAAAGTTAGATATCTGATTTGAAAATCCCTACATATAGTCAAAAATAATTATATATCATCTTGAAGAAATGGCAGTTCAAGGTTAACAAATACAAAACTGCTAAGAAGAAGAATCATGTCATCTACATACATATTAGTGAAGTTCTGCCATTGCCTTAGCTTCATCGCTGCCTAGTTGAAAGAATTCATGTGGCTGGGTCATTCCCATCCTTCTGTTGTGAGGTCTAATGTTAAATAAAGTATCAGAAGTCTTTCCTGATCTTCCTCTACAAAGTAGATCATTGAATTACTATTACTGTACTCTAAGTATGTGTTTCTTGACAATTATTGTTGTTTTTGTTTTTATTCAACATATTCTGTGGTTAATTATCAGTAACTTTCTACTACTAAAATTTAAGCTTCACAAAAAGAGAAACCCATATTTGCCTGGTTGACCACTGTGTTCTTAGCATTTGCTAGTGATTGGTACATGTTACATAGTCAATAAATATATTAAATAAATGAATAAATAAAGTTACTGTAATTAAAATCATATTGTAGACTGACAGATCAAACAGAATTAACTAAAGAATCTAGAATCAGACCCAAGCTTATGTAGAAGTTCTGAATATATTAAAATGGCATTTAAGGCAGAAGAGGGGTATTCAGCACTTGGCACATTGATTGGCCATTTGTAAGAATAAATAAATCTCAATCTCTTGTGTGAATGGGTTTTGAGAAATTCAAGGAATGGTGAATAAGTTAGCATGGAATCAAAAAGAAGTAAATAGACTCAGAAAATCAGATGTTCATGAAGTCAGAAAATGCTATAAGATATAAGCCATCAGGAATTTGCAGATATCTTAGGAAAGGCTTCCAACAAAACAGAACAGAGGATTATGCAAATCTTATTTAATTCTGAAAGAAAACCTGACATCTGGGTTACATAAACACCAAAGCAAGAATTGAAACAGAAAAAGATGAATAGTCTTTACTGTATACAAATTTATGACTGTATTTAAAAAGTAATACCAGAAATAAGACTGAATAATAAATGGCAACCCAAATGAAAAGTTACAACATATTTGATAAACAATTATTGTTTCTAATATAAAAATAATACTAATAAATCAATAAAAAGGTGAGAATTACTGAAAGACACAAAGAGGCAATTACACACACATCATAACAAATGAGCCTGCTCTTCTACATATATAAGTATGTATGAAAGATATATATAATATATACACATATGAATGTATGAAACATATATATTATATATATACATATAATTTCACTTTTATTTTAGATTCACGGGGTACAAGTGCTGGTTTAAGAACAAACTTTTCTTGATTCTGTATTCCATTGTATTCCATTCTAGCTTTCATCCCATTCCTCTCATCCCTTTTACAGAAAAAATAAAAAAATTCATTGCCTATATCCTCTTGCAATTTTCTCACTTTTCTTTCCCAAACCCTCTCCGTCAGACTTTCATTGACATCTCCTACCAAAACATTTTTGCATGAACATTGTGAACTTTACATATGAAATCCAGCAGTCAATTCTCAGTCCTCTTCCTATATGACTCCCCAGCACTATTTGACACACTGATCGTGCCCTTTTCCCTCAAATACTCAGTTTAGTTTTTGAGATGCCACACCTTTCTCACCTTTCTCCTACCTCTTGCCTTTTCCCATCTGATCTCCAAATCACAGGCTCCTTTCTCAATGTTCTTCTCTTTTCCCTGCTAAACTAACTCCCTATCTGGTTCATCTATTTCTACAGCTTTTATTACTATCCAAATGTCAGTATCTCCAAATTTCCATCTCCAGACCTGACCCTGAGTTCCAGGCTTGTATATTCAACAGTCAATTCAACATCTTCACAGAAAAATCTAATAGGCATCTGCTGCTTAATACTCAAACGAACTTCTTATTTTCCCCTTCCCATTTTCTTCCATGGTCTTCCCCAACTCTAAAACTAGCACCACCATTCACCAGGTATATAAGGTCAAACTATTGGAATCTTACTTGATTCCTTTCTTTCTAAGACTCCATATCCAATCCATCAGCAAATCCTATTAGCTCTTCCTTTTAAGTATACTTGGAACCTGACAGTGTTTCACCACTTCTGCTACTATCACCAGATCAAAGCCACCATCATCTCTTGCTTGAACTATTATAATGGCCTCCTAAATATCCTTGTACTTCGAACATTTGCTCCTTCACACAGCAGCTAAGATGATCTTCCTAAAACACATGAGATAATGTCACTCTTCTGCTCAAAAGCTTCTAATCTCTTCCCATTATATTTAGAAGCAAAACTAAAACCCTCACCATGCCCTTCAAGGATCCTAGCTACCTCTCTGTCTTCATCTTCTATCACTGTCTTCACATTCTATACTGCTGGATTTTTTAGAACCATCATTTAAGGTTGCAGTGAGCTGAGATCACGCCACTGCACTCCAGCCTGGGCGACAGAGCTCAAAAAAAAAAAAAGAAAAAGAAAAAATCAGTGTAGTTGC